>NW_025791814.1:510389-680518 GCF_000001405.40 Homo sapiens
TCAGCCTCCCGAATAGCTGGAACTATGGGAGTGGGCCATCACACCTGGCTAATTTTTGTATTTTTTTATAGAGACGAGATCTCACCATGTTGCCCAGGCTGGTCTTGAACTCATGAGCTCAAGTGATCCACCCGTCTTGGCCTCCCAAAGTGCCAGGGAGTGTAATCCCTCCCAAAGTGGGATTACAGGCATGAGCCACCATGCCCAGCCTAAAAATGATTTATGAATTATCATGAGTTAGGAGTAATTCCAAAGAACACAGATGTGAAAAAGATCATAAAATAACAGAGCAAATACTGACCTTGTATAAGCTTTTCAAAGGAGCGCAAATTAATTATTAAAGGTAGTATAAAATATCTTTAAAGTAATATCTATATTAACTTTCCAAACAATTCCAGTTAGACATTTAGTTTAAAATATGCCATAAATAATGCTAGCTATTAGAGAAGCTGAAAAATCTCCTAATGCTGTATATTCCAGATAATTTTGCTTTATTATTCCCCAAAATGAAAGCAACTAAAAATACCTTTTACCACTTGTCATGTGTCATCACACACCAGCCTTTCTTATGATACACATTGTGTATAATGGAAACATTATTTCTCTTTCAATATATTTTGCATACTTACATAATGCTTTAATAATCAGTTCCTTTAAAGTACAGTTTGATAGACAGAAAGGAAAGTCAAAAAAAAAAAAAGATGATGTATGTAATTCCTGTCACCTTCTTAGCGTGGAGTATTTTCATTAGAATTGATAGGCCATGAGTGGTGGCAAAATACAAGTGGGAAGGATTTTGTGTGCCATTTTCCAGAAAGGTTGAGAAATGCACACAGATAGCAGCAGCCTGCATTATTACTGATTCCAGAGAGGGCTCTATTCTCTAGGAACATTTTGTTCTTGTAATATCTAACATTTTTTTCGTTTACCCACTTACGTTAAATAAGGCTTTAGGGCGTATCATTTCAGAAGAACTTGAACCTTTGATTGTCTTAAGCATTTTTTGAGATGTTTACAGGAATGAAGGAGTTGACATTAACTGAGTTTCTGTGCGTAAACCCATTTAAGCCTAGCGTTTCATTATTGGAACGCTAAGCATGTGGCAATTATTTATTTCCTGCTGCTCAAGGTCATTGCCAAGGTCTGATTGCAAAAATTTAAAAAATTGCAACCTCAGGCATAAATGGGTTAATTTGACCTCCTTTGTCTAGTCCTTCATTTCTCAATTTATCTCATCTTGAAATTGATCAACATTTTAAAACATAAAATAAGGTTGAAAAGTAGGATCTTTTAATTATGAGAGGAACAGGTAAGTCCAGGGTCCTTGGGTACAGTCTCAACTCAGGAGTCCTGTGGAACTATCAAGGGACAACAAGGACACAGCTAAGTCATTAGAGCACCAAATATGTCAGCCCTGTGGTAACAAGGAATCATTTTAACTGCTCCCTAACTTGCCACTGTACCCCACTTGCTACCTTATGCCACCAAAGGTTTCCATGTCATATGGATTAAATGGTTTGTTCATGTCCTTCAATGGGATTAATGGATGTGCTTCTGTTAAAATAGGCAAATGTTTAAATACAATTTATTGGCAGCAAAAAGTGCAAACACACAATTCTGTCTCATTCTGTCTCCCTTTGTGTGTCTTTCTGTTTTATTTTCCTTGGAATACTATTAGCATTTTAACCGGACACAGTTCTAAAACATAGTTCATACTTTTTGTCATGTTAGACACACTGCAATTTAGAGCCTACTGAACAGGGAATGATTTTTGGATTTTGAGTCATCATTTTGGACATCGATTATTGAGCCATGCTGCTCAGTTACCAGAGGGATGTCTCAGAAGCTATGTGGCATCTCAAGATGCATGGAATGGTCCCAGACTGCCAGATGTTCAAGTCTCTGAGCTTGTCTTTATTAGCTTTTCTGCTTCCTCCTTTACTATCCAGCTGTTATATGTTACTTCCCTTTGTTATCAGTATCTTTGTCAACACACAGTGTGATGCATTCAGTATGCTGAGAGTTAGAAAACAGACATATCAAGGCTTTTAGGACTTTGTATAAACTAAGAGTAAATAGGTTATGAGCAAGTAACATAGTGGTTTTCCAACATCAGTTAACATGAGCTTACATGTTAGTGCCACTAAAATAAATCCAGCGCTTGGTGTCAGTTCAGTCAGCCTGGTTAAGATTAGCATAGGGGCCAGTGGGATATTTCTATGTAGGGACACAAAACTACCAAAGAAAATGGGGCATTAGCCCAGTAGGAAAATGTTGCAGAAACCCTCAGATTTGGAGTTCTACAGCCACGTTCTTCCCATTGTCACGGAGCTGAGCCGCAAAAAACACTCATAGAGCAGTGGGTTCTGAAACTCAGGCACAACACCATTTTGGGTTTTCTTCAAAGGCAGATATTAAAATAGCAGCAGTTCTAGAAATCTATTTTGCTGAACTATGGGTTGTTAATGCTGAAAGTCAGATCTTTAAGATCTGAGCCGCAGAAAGCAGGCATGCATGATCTCCAGAAAGAGGCACATCAGAGTTGATTCTAGAAACCAGCAGGTGTTATAGGTGGTCAGGAAACAGAGCCAAGTGATGCACCCATTCGTTGGACCAGCACTGTCCTAGGCTCCAGAAATGCAAAAAGGAGAGAGACAGCCCCTATCTCTAGGGAGCTTATAATCTAAACAGATTTGAGCCTTTGGGTTTAGGAACATCCCAAGAAGTTGAGGAAAAAGGATAGAAGGGAAGAACCTGGAGAGCAATCAAGGAAGTGGCATTGTCCTTGTCTCCCTGGGATGAAGGGGCTACTGATACCCAGGGAGGAAAACTGGTATTTATCCCCATACCTGCTTTTATCCTTGTGTGTTATTCTAATACAAATACTTAATTTTATATGTTAAAGTCCTCATCATTAATGTGCTTGTTCAATCTTCTCAGCTAACTTTTTCTTGTTCTTATGAAGAATCAAATTAAAAGATTTTCCCTGGTTTGAGGTGCAATAAGCTCATCCACTTTGAGAGATTTCTCAGTGTGGAAGAAAAAACCTGGGCTTTGGAAGCCAGTGGATCTGAACTACAAAACGGTCCTTGTCCCTTTCCAGCTGTGTGGCCTCAGTCTAGTCATTTAACTCTAAACTTTGCTTTCTTCATCTAGAAAAAAGAGAGATGATGAGTAATCTCTTTGTTCTGCTGTTGAAGATCAAATTAAAATGCATTTATGTCATCTAGCAGATAGTCATGCATCTACTGCACAGCAGAGTGACTAAGCTGAATAATAATGTATTCTATATTTCAAAATAGCTCAGAGAGTAAATTTCAAATCACAAAAAAAGGGATAAGTGAGGTGGTAGATATGTTCATCATCTTGATGTAATCATTTCACATCGTGTATACACATAGGTGTGTATATATAGACACATACAAAATCAACACATTGTACCCAATAAATGTATATAACTTTTCAATTGAAAAAAATATTAATAAATAAAAAATTAAATTGGTATCTATCCTAGTAAATGCCATGTTTGTTATTCTGCTGTTCTGGACAATCCACAGGTGTATAAAATGTAGCCTTTGTGAGCCAGACAGGGAAGATCCCACTGACATAAACATAGCAGGGCCCCCTTTCAATTGCTTGTTTGCTTACTTATGAAAGGCAACCGCATATATTAAAGAAAGCATCTGAGTGGTAATGATGTAGATGAATTTTACATCATAATTCTGCCATTTGGAGCTATTTCACCACAGGCAAAATATTTACTAAACCTCTGAGCCAATGTCACATGACAGAGCATTGGTAAACATAGAAAGATATACTGAGTCCATGGAGTATTTTTGTATACCCCAGTGAAAGGCTTGGGGAAAGGAGGATCACAGACATCTGCTATGAACTGAATGTTTGCATCTGCACAAAATTTATATGATGAATTCTTAATCCCCAATATGACAGTATTTGGAAATAAAGCTTTTGGGAAGTAATTAGGTATAGGTGTGATTATAAGGGTGGGACCAGACCTCACTTTCTCTTTCCGCCCTGTGGGATCGCAGTGAGAAGGCGGCTGTCTGCAATCCAGGAAGGGAGCCCCCATCAGGCACCAAATCTGCCAATACCTTGATCTTGGACTTCCCAGCCTCCAGAACAGTGAGAGATAAATTTTTGTGGTTTAAGCCTCCCAGTCCATGCTATTTTGTGATAGTAGCCCAAGCTGACCAAGATATTATCTTCAGAAGTCTTTTCCACAGTAGAAATGGATATTCACAGAAACTCAGGGACTTTCCCCAAAATCATTATCATGTTACTTGAACAATTCTCCCTGGCATATCTGTTAGTATCTGAGTATAAAAAAAATATCCTGAAGTTCTCAAAATTAATCATTTCTTGTCCATCATATTTTATCTAACAGGAAGGCCCTCTGCTTCTACCTCCAAAATATATCCTGAATCCATCCACTTTCCTCCCTCAACACTGTACCACACACATCTAAGGATTGTAGCTTTCAAACTCTCTGTGTCCACTTCTGCTTCCCTACAATTTAATCTCTATTCAACATGCATGAGCATTTAGCAATATACATCATTTAGTGCCTTGATGGAATCCCACTAGACCTAACCACTTATGATGGTCTATGATAGTTTGGGCTTTGGCCATATCTCCAAAAGCTTCCACTCCACTCTCTCCTTCTTCCACCATACCCAGGCCATGCTGTACTTCTTTTAATTGCTCTGACTGGAGGCTCTGAGCCCAGATCTCTCCCTGGATGGGTCCTTCTTGTCATCCTGGCCTCAGTTTTTAAGTCAAATTTCCAGCAAAGTCACATGATCATGGTCATTCATGATGAGAGACTTGGTTTTATTATACCTGTATGTGACGTTATCTTGTACATGTGCATGAGATTGGTTTAACATTTCCCTCCTTCATCTAGAATAGCAAGAACTCATTTTGTCTTGTTCAACATTTCATCTCCATTACATAGAACAGTACTTGGCTATGACATCCTAAAATATTTGTTGAATGCATGCATGGGTGGATGAAACAGTCTATTATTGCTTGTATTCAAAACATCCTTTCCTAGGTCTCAGTAAAAAGAAAGCTAAAGTACCTTTTTTTAGATTTCGGCACATTTCCTCATGTAGACTGCATAAAAAGAGTTTGTTCTCCTCCAGAGATGAATATATTCTTATATGAAAATGAGCATATTTTAAGATTGTGATGAATTATTCTTTCATTATGCTCCCTGGCTTTTTACTGTGTGGTTAAGCTGTTAGATCTTCAGTAAAGGCAATACTATTTGGGGGAAGATTTTAAAAGCATATGTCATTTTTCACTTAGAGAAATATATCTTAGAGCTCTTGTTGTTGTGTTTTTCCTATTGCAGTCTATATGAATTGAGTTAATAGCAATTGAAAGAAGAGATGGCTCTGCTAATAAGATGTTAAATGGTAGCACAAGCACGATGAAGCTTTTCTCAGCTGCGCCTGCCGTCGCCAATTGATGGCCACACTGTGTCATGAAACTCAGCTTTCTTCAAAGCCGTTTCAATAACAGTTTCTGAAATATTAGAGGAACATAAGAATTAAATCTAAGTTCTAAGTATATAGCATTAGAAACCACATGATCCTCTTAGCATTAACTAAAATAGAAGTGGAAATAGAAGATATATATATATCTATATCATATATATCTTATATAGATATCTATATATCTTATATAGATATCTATATATCTTATATAGATATCTATATATCTTATATAGATATCTATATATCTTATATCGATATCTATATATCTTATATAGATATCGATATATCTTATATCGATATCTATATATCTTATATCGATATCTATATATCTTATATCGATATCTATATATCTTATATAGATATCGATATCTATATATCTTATATAGATATCGATATCTATATATCTTATATAGATATCTATATATCATATATATCATATATATCTTATATAGATATCTATATATCATATATATGATATATATAAAGGATTACATGCAGGCATGAACGAGCTACAGATATTTCCTGAGCAATTGAGTTGCCAGATAAAAATATGCACATGTTGAAAGCTGCATATAAGAGAAAAGAAGAGCCCCCTAAAGAGAAGACATCTAACCTGACGTTATGAGCTGAATTTCCCCCTTCCTCAAAAATTTATGTTAATGTCCTAACCTGCAGTACCTCGGGATGTGACTTTATTTGGAAATAGGGTCAGTCACTGCAGATGTAATATCTTAAGATGAACTCATACTTGGATAGTGTGTGCCCCTAATCCAATGTGACCGGTGTGTCCTTATAAAAAGGGAAAATTTAGATAGAGACATGGATATTAACATGAATCCTAATCAGAGCCAACAGGTTCTAGGTGGAGGCTACCACTGCTTTCGGCATTATTTATGTTATGACACATTTAGTTCTTACAATGACCCCAAGAGGAAGATACTGTTATTCCCATTTTTCAGATGAGAAAATTGAGAAACAGAGAAGTTCAGGGACTTGCCCCAGTTTATACAACTAGAAGTATCTGTGCCAGGATGGTGCCCTGGCTTGCTGGCTCATGCCCTCACGCAAATCGCTCCCCTGGGTTTGGGCCATGGCACAAGTGTGAGACGGCAAGGCATGGGCAAGCGGAGGTACAACCAGAGTGGGGCAGAAGCCATGAGCACAGAAAGAAATTTAACCTAAAGGTTCAACAGAGCTGGGGTGAGGAGAAGAAGATGCCAGGTATTGATTCTGAGGGACCTATGGGGTTGGGGTGGCCTTGGTAGAACAAAGGAGTTGGGGTAGGGGAGATTCTGTTTCAGAAAAGATAAGAGCTCAGCTGTGAGCATGCTGAGTCAGTTAAAATCAAAAAAGTCAAGCTGCAGACAGGGCGTTGGAGACCAAACTATGCTTGTTGAGGAGAAGCCCTTCATGAGAACTGAAGTTTAGTAACTCCCCAGGAAGGGGAGTGAAGGAAGGCGAGTGAAGGAAGAAGGCCAAGAAAAGACCCAGGAAAGGAGTGAGAGGAGGCATGGAGGACACAAGCCAGTGTGGCGCTAAGAAAGCCAGGGGAGGAGAGGACTTCTAAAGGATGCTGCAAAGGGCCTCAGCTCCCTGCCTTCCTATTGCCATAGCCTTGAGTACATATACAACCTGTACAAAGGGGCAATATTGCCTTTTTGGGAAAATCATGATATTAAATAAGAACATCCATGTAAGAACCTGACAGAGAAAAGCACTTTAGAGTAGCTCTAATCTGTAATAAAATATGATAAAATATTCTTGCTGAACCAATAAAAATATTAAGTGTCTAAGAGCTAGAAATGCACAAAATTGAGTTAAAGAACACTCCACGTCATTACCAAATGACATAATAGAAGCCCTGGATAAATGAAGAGGCATATCCAAATCTAGGATTAGTCAACTTAATATTGCAAAAATGTCACCTTTTCACAAGTGAAATGAATTACGTTTTAATTAATTGCTGAACAAAATTTACTTAGAACTTGAACAAATCAATGTAAATTAAAATGAGAGATTCTTTTCATACAGGAGATTAGAACAAAAAATAAAATGTTTGAAAATAAGTGGTCTTGACAAAAGGTATGGGAAATAAAAACCTCTATAGGTGGGCATGTAAATTGGTGAAGCCTTTTGATTTTTGAAGGGCAACTTGCCAGTATATTTCAAGTGTGAGACTTGCATACTTTTCAATCCCTCTTGCAACGTCAAAGATTATCCTATGGAAAAACTCAGAAGTGCACACTTTGACGTTCACCCCCAAATGCACGGATGCATAATTTAACAATGAAAACTTATTTTTTTTTTTTTTTTTTTTTTTTTTTTTTTTTTTTTTTTTTTTTTTTTTTTTTTGAGACGGAGTCTCGCTCTGTCGCCCAGGCTGGAGTGCAGTGGCGCGATCTCGGCTCACTGCAAGCTCCGCCTCCCAGGTTCACGCCATTCTCCTGCCTCAGCCTCCCGAGTAGCTGGGACTACAGGCGCCCGCTACCACGCCCGGCTAATTTTTTTTGTATTTTTAGTAGAGACGGGGTTTCACCGTGTTAGCCAGGATGGTCTCGATCTCCTGACCTCGTGATCCGCCCGCCTCGGCCTCCCAAAGTGCTGGGATTACAGGCGTGAGCCACCGCGCCCGGCCAACAATGAAAACTTATACATAAACCTGAATGCCAATCAAGGGATAAATAAGTAAATAAATTAGGGTACATCTATACTCTGCAGTTACATAAAAGACAGTAAGGTATATGTACACATACCCTGCAGAAAAATCTCCACTACATAGTCTAAAGTGGTTACATAACAATCTGTAATGTTATGTACCAAAGGCAGTGGTATATGAATAAATTTGTGTATGCAAATGAACAGAGAGGCCTGGATCAGCAGATATCTGCCCAAATGTTAACTGTGGTTGCCTCTGAAATCATGAGTGGATTAGAGGAAGGGGAGGAGAAATTATGTTTCATTTCCCACTGTCACGTATTTGAGTATCTTAAAAGAAGACTCTATTAATGTGCTTCTTGGGTAGTTAAAATGTATTTTGGAAAAAGATGTCAGTGGGTGGTGAGCATATGGACACAGTAGACGTAAACCAAACCCATGTAACACACAACATAGAAGGAGATAAATTTAGGATGATGTTGCTGTCGGGAGTAGATGCGTCAAAGAGGGCTTTTATTATGCTTGCTTTTCAAGCTGGTCGCTACCTGGACTTGCCTAAAAGCAGAAGGGGAGACTTTCAATATTCACCCTGGTCTTTGTATTCCCTCCCCTCCAAATACCTCACACAAAAGTTGAATCTGCCATGTAGCTGATCTCTGTCTCTTCCTGAACTTCTGTGATAATTCCCCATTTCACACATAATTGCATCAGTCCAGTTGATTTGGGTGTCAGAGCTGCCTCCTCAAAATGGCAGTTGCCTCTCTGAAGACAAAGGGATCCTCTTGTTTGCCCCACTTACCTGCTGCCCCCAAAGGTTTGCACAGTGCTAAATTAAGTGACTGTTTAGAAGATATACATACTTCGAGTTTTTTTCTAAAAATAGGATCAGTAAAATAAGGGATCATATTGAGGGGGCAGAGCTCTCACCATATCATTTTATTTAACCTTCTTTGGAGCCTATTATGTTTATGAGAGTATCATCAAGATATCCAAGAAATAATGAAGCCCCAGCGTGGATCTTGAGCCGCCTGGAAGAAATCATTTGGCTAGAAATAACACCATCACATGGGGCATGAGGAATAAGCTTACAATTCTGCTGGATCCAGTATGTAAGGAGAGATTTGGTGTACATATTTTAAATTCTCTCAAAGCAATTTCACTAAGACATTTCTTTTATGTAAATAAAATTCTCTCAGTGAAATTCTCCTGCAGTTAAATGAGGCTCAATTATACACTACTAATTTAAGCCTGCATACTGCATTCCAACTGTATACCTAATTACCCTATTTAGTTTGTTAATGATCAGATCTTTGTGCAGATATTCAAGTCTGTCACTAATCTTTGCTCTAGTTAGATTTCTAGTTGTTTAAAATAATGAATCCTTAGAAAGAATATAATTGTATAATTCCTTTACTTTTAAATGAATCACTTCAAGAATTTTTTATTAAAGAACCAAAGAAGCTCGTAAAACTTATAAATTGTATTTATTTATTTATACGATGAACAAGATGGTTTTGGCCACTGACATTTGAAAGCAAATATTTCAGTTGGGAACACAGACAAAAAGAGTACATTGACAAAGAAAATAAATCCACTCTCATAAATGCATTTACATGAATTGAGAAACAGAAGTTGACTCTAGTAAAGAGAAGAGCTGTTTAGATGGTGGGGGTTTGGAGTGGGGTGTGTATGTAAGGATTTCTGAGGACGTGCACTTCAGCAGAGCCACAGAAGGTAGGAAGATAAGAAGGGATTATTCATGGATAAGTAGAGCTAAGAACAAGGTTAAAGGAAAAGTATGTTTGAGGCGGGAAAAACTGTGGCATATCCAAGGAACTGACACAGGATATGGTTTGAAAATAGAACTGAGGCCGGGCGCGGTGGCTCGCGCCTGTAATCCCAGCACTTTGGGAGGCCGAGGCGGGCGGATCACAAGGTCAGGAGATCGAGACCATCCTGGCTAACACGGTGAAACCCCGTCTCTACTAAAAATGCAAAAAATTAGCCGGGCGTGGTGGCGGGCGCCTGTAGTCCCAGCTGCTCGGGAGGCTGAGGCAGGAGAATGGCGGGAACCCGGGAGGCGGAGCCTGCAGTGAGCCGAGATCGTGCCACTGCACTCCAGCCTGGGCGACAGAGCGAGACTCCGTCTCAAAAAAAAAAAAAAAAAAAAAAGAAAATAGAACTGATAGGACATAGAACTCGCCTGAATGCCAGGATGAGGCAAAGGCGATGAGGACCAAGGTGGCTGCTAGGTCTTGGTGAAGAGCCCTGAACAGGTGAAGAGTCCTCCTGCCAGGAATAAGAACCACGGGGTGTGGCACTGGCTGTCCATGGCTGACTTATTTTGGACTTTGGGGAATTGAAAGTAGCCCTTTATAGAGATATGGAAAGGGGAAGGAAGAGAATGCTATTGGATGTGCTCGTTGTATCAGGCGGACTCATGTTTAGAAGAGGTACATCAGCATTATTTACTGTCCCACAAGATTTCTGCATTTTGGGGCTGGAAGGGAATGTGTATTTCAGGTTGACTGTCTGTTCCAGTTGTGGGTGCACAATACAGTGCTGATTAAAAAGCAACACATACAAAAAGGAAAAAATAAGTGAAGGAAGGTCAGAGCACGGCACTTCAACCCACAGTGACTATGCTTACCTGGTCTGTGTTAGCAACCCAAAAGGAATTTAAGACACTGGGCTTATTGGCAAAACACATTGAAAATTAACTGTAAAGTTTGTCTACCTGATACAGATGGCATAGGATTATGGGAAAGAATCTGGAAAAATAGGAACCACCATAAAGAATGAAACTAACACTATGTTGTGGCCACTTAATATTATGGGATAATGGTTTTTCACACTTTGGGTTCACCTACTAATAGGTTGTGAAATCAGTTTCATGGATTGCAGCTTTACTTTTTAAAAAAATGAAATAAAAGAGCATAGAATGTATCAGTGTGTATCAAATAGTGGTGATAAATATTCTGCAGCTTGTTTCAGTACACCTGTGCATACATAAAGTTATGTGTGTGTTTGTATATTTATGTGTGTATTTATGTGTATGCATTACTGAGTTCTAAGATAAAATGTCTTTATTCTATGTATCTCTTACTGTGAGTCAGAGCAAAAAATGTTTGAAGAGCCTTTTTCAACATCTTAGTGATGGAATTGTTACTTTTCTGACTAGGCTTCCGTTTCAAAGCAAGGCTAATCGTCTTTTAGCATCAGCTGGTATACCTTGGATTCTTAAAGTTCTCTCTTTAAATATTTCTGCATTTTAAATTAAAGATTCCTGCTTTAGCAAGTCCCCTAGTTCTTATTCCTGGTAGGGGGACTCTTCACCTGTTCAGGGCTCCTCACCAAGACCTAGCAGCCGCCTTGGTCCTCATCTCCTTTGCCTCATCCTGACATTCAGGCCAATTCTATGTCCTATCAGTTCTATTTTCAAAGTATATCTTGTATCATTTCCTTGGACATGACACATTTTTTCCCACCTCAAACACATGCTTTGAGACCAGCAAGTCTATAAGGCCATAGGCTTGGTTGCATTTATAATGGGAATAGCAGAGAAAGCAGTTTATTTTTTTAAAACTGCAACATCATTTGAAGGTCTTGGATTACATTTGTTTCCCAATGACACGTGATGATGTCAAAGGAAACTATAATGAGTTTACTGAGCTATCCATACAAATGTACATGCAAATATGTATACTTACAAGAACACGCAAGGGTAGAAACCATGTCAGATGCGGTCCCTCGTGTCACTCCCACTCCACTGCCTTTTGGTTTCAAATAGTCTGACCCCATGAGAATCTTTGAGACTGTCTTTCATGTCACAGAGCCTTGCACTGTGAGAGTAACTCAATTCCCTAAATGACTTCCCCAGATCTAGCTTATCACAAACTCCATTGCCTTGCAATAACCTTTGTAACAAAATGGTATTAATAAAATCATGTAGCAACTGCCCATCATATGCAGACCTAGTAATGGAATCCAAGTTACCTAAAAGGCTAATTCCTAATGAGAAGGAAAGGAAACATACCATAAAGTAAAAGTGCAAACAATTGCAAAACAGAGGCAAACAGTGTCAGTTGGATATACGTAAGCGCTGATGTAAAGAGAGATTGGAAATGATATATCTGGCTGGGCAGGTCACTCATGCCTGTAATCCCAGCACTTTGGGAGGCTGAGGCAGGCAGATCACCTAAGGCCAGGAATTCGACACCAGCCTGGCCAACGTGGCAAAACCCGTCTCTACTAAAAATACAAAAATTAGCCGGGCGTGGTGGTGTGCGCCTGGAATCCCAGCTACCCAGGAGGCTGAGGCAGGAGAAATGCTGGAACCCGGGAGGCAGAGGCTGCAGTGAGCTGAGATCATGCCACTACTGCACTCCAGCCTGGGTGACACAGCAAGACTCCCTCTAAAAAAAGAAAAAAAGAAAAGAAAAGAAAAGAAAATGATATATCCATGATGAATTAAAATGGAGTGGAACCCACTGATGGTATGCAGCTGATAAGACGCTATAGAGAAATGATATCCGGACACATGGTGAGACTTTTTCTCCTCTGTAAATCTCAATTCTTGTGATTCTTTCAAAGGGAAAGCCACAGAAGGTACCAGTTATCCACTCACTGACTTAGGTGCCTCCACTAGAATTCTCAGCACGTTTTTGCAGAAGTAAGTTATCTTCACTATTGCTCTAACACTTCTTAGTCTCCTTTTTCTTTCTTTTCTTTTTTTTTAGACAAAGGAAAAGTAAACCGCTGGTTTAGAGTCTTTGGAAGGCAATTGTATCTGACTAGAATTTAATATTATTGTTTTTCTTTCATTGTATTGCATTTATCTGTATGGCTAGTTAAACTGATTTTCCATTTAAAAGTAGTAATGCATTTTTTTATAATTACATTGTTTTAAGTAAACAAGAATTATTCAAAGGACAAAAACACTAGCACAGATGGCATTCAATGATTGCAGATATCATAAAGATAGTTCATGAATGACAAAGATTTGAGAAGTACTGTGTTCACGATGCTTCCTGGAAGAGGTGGGTTATACAGTGTTTCTTAGAGAAAGGGATAGGGGTCTACTGCTAGGAGGGAAAGATGAAGCTACTTAGGGGGACTAGGAAACACGCAGTTGGCCTGCCCTCTGCTTGGAGATCACAGCCAAGGAAACACAGGAGAGGCACCCCCTGGAGGAGCTCCGTGGGCTGCAGGGCTGACGTGGCCCAGGTAAGTGGGAGTTCAGGGAGGCCCACAGGTTGGTGCTAGGATAGTGGCAGATGATTTTCATTGTCAGACTGTGAGACAAAAGGTAGACATAAGGGAGGCAGAGGTGAAATCGGGATGGTTAAAACAGAGAATGCTGAGAGCAGAGCAAGGCAGTTGCTAAAGCTGTTACTAAAACTGGACAGCAGAAGGCCTGGCGTGGTGGCTCACAGCTGTAATCCCAGCACTTTGGGAGGCCTAGGTGGGTGGATCATCAGAGGTCAGGAGTTAGAGACTAGCCTGACCAACATGGTGAAACCCCATCTCTACTAAAAATACAAAGTTAGCCAGGCATGGTGGCCCATGCCTGTAATCCCAGCTACTCGGGAGGCTGAGGCAGGAGAATTGCTTGAATTTGGGAGGTGGAGGTTGCGGTGAGCTGAGATCGCACCATTGCTCTCCAGCCTGGGCAACAAGAGCGAAACCCCATCTCAAAACCACAACAACAACAACAGGACAACAGAGATGGACGACGGATCGGGAAAGCCAACCAGACAGCGTGAGGCCAGGACGGAAAGAGGCACAGGGAGCTCTGCTCAGTGTCGCTACAGGGGATCTCTCAGGCTCACAACGGGCCACTCCTCTAGGGAAGTTCTGGTCTCATCATGATCCTTGTTTGGTCTCACTCCCCATGTCCTTCTCTGTCCCTCCTCCAACTGCCATTTATTTATTTAACTGAAAAAGTACCAATCACCCACATAGGCATGACATACTCATCCATGTACCCATTTCTTAAAATTGATCATTGTTAACATTTGGTGTAATTTGCTTTATTTATTTTTAATGAAATAAATAAAACTTTACAGAAAATGCTTTATTTTTCTCTTTGTTCCCTCCCCATCCTATATTTTTCTCCTAAAAAACCCTATTATCAGAAATATTAGTGTGTATTCCCAGTTTCGACTTTTTATTTTATTACACACACACTCCCACACATAGCTGTGACAATGAACTTCACATAGTATGGTTCTGTATTTTCTCTTTGTTTTTCAAACTTACATAAGTATTTTACTATTTCTCATGGAAAAACTCACTTTTCCCATCCAACGTTATGTTTCCTTAAGATCTCTCTATGTTGATATAAAGAAATCTAGCTCATTCTTTTTAATGAAAATAAAGTATATTTTATGAATGTAACTCATGCTAACCATGGCAATAAAAGCTCCATCAAGCATGCATTTAGTTCTGTATTTTGTTCAATGCTGTATTCCCAGTCCCTAGAACACATACAGAGTAGTGGTTCATTAAATGTTTGTCAAATGAATGAATCAATGAATCCACTCATTTCACTGCTGACAAGCAGTAAAACTGACGTCAATTTTGCACAAACTTTTACAAGATTCCTCGGCACCCACATAAGAGACGTACTAATACGTCTACCTAGAAATATATGTATTGCATTGACAGAATTTGTGTTTTTGGTTTTGTGGGATTCTCTGAAATGCTATGTGACTTCTTAAGGGCTTGGCACATGCTGTAGGCTGTTAATGTGGCTGAGGGGTTTGGCTCTCACATGACCACTGCAGACAGGCTGTGTGCCACCTGCTCACTTTGTAAGCTTCTCGTCCCCCTCTGACAGCTCTTTGCAATGCTTTGTCTTTTCTTCAAAACTTTATATATATTTTTTTAAGAAGAAAAATCTGATAAGCCTTTGTCAGAAAAAAGTGGGTGAATTCTTCCAAGTAATAAAATAATGCAAAGTATAAAATAAAGAGGATAAACCGATTCACAGCTAGGAATACAAGGTATCTTTGGCCAATGGGATTTTGCCTTCGTGCTTTCAAGCACAGTCACTTTCTGTGCAAGGTTGTAAGTGTTCACCATGAGCTTTAGGTGGATCTAGCCCTGTAACAACAAATCACTAGTACCGCTGGATCAAGATTAGTGTACATTTGTGTTTAAGCAATATCATGGTCCATTAATTACGTGCACTGCAATTTAATGGCCTTGCAGATCTTAACACTGTGCTTTTATTTCATTTTTGCCTAGGCCCGCCTCACCGCTAAATATAAATGGAATGAAGCACTTGAAAACAAAAAGTATAAAAATGTGTATATTTTTCATTGCAAAGCAATTCTTAATGGATTTTGTAAACTTTGCAAAATTAAAAGGAAAATACTGTCAGGACACTAAGCTTCTTCCCAGGTTTTCAGATTCCGAAGCTTTAGTTGAGGGCAGTTGAAGAACCTACAAGGCTGTTCCGGAGACCTTTGTGAATGTGAATGAACGCCCTTTGCTTCAAAGGCACCTGCCTGGTGCTGAGGAATCGGCCTTGGAGCCGCCGCCCACGCCGGGCCGCTGCGGGAGAACACTCGGTGCCCCCTGCTGGTCAGACCGAGGCCCCGCAGCGTGGCACAGAGAGCTCCACGGCACGCGTGGTGTGGGAACTGCAGGCTGAAAAACGCTCCCAGAAATGAAATAGTGAGTGCCCGTGGATCTGGCACCACCTTAACACTTCCTCGTTAATAACACATGATTTTTGCTTTATTAACCTATAAGCACTTCCTATGTTTACACTTCTTGGGTTTTGATAGAAACTCGTGATCAGCAAAATTCTTTCAATGAAAATTTGTCAAATTACTTCTCCACTTAAAAGTGGAAACAGTGACGTTTTTCTTGAACTCCACGTTTATTTATATTATTTTTTAATTTCATTTTTGCTTTACAACCATCTAATGAATTTTCTTTAGATAAAATTCCCTCTAGGATTTTAAGATAAAATTCCCTCTAGGATTAAGTTTTGGTCATTTCTCTCATGAAATGTATGTCAGATTACATTATTTGGAACCTTATTTTTCCATTTTTTTTTCAGGTAGTTTAATATAGTCAGTGAATCAGCAGTGAGTTGTAGCAACTTCCATTTCTGACTATGTAAAAAACTAATTATTTTGAAAACTCTCCAGGTATAAGAAACTTAGACAAGCTGCATAAATCTAACATTGACTTAAATGAACAGCAGGTTTCTCAGGTAAGGAAAGCCCTCTGGGCTCTATAAAGGAAGAGGGGGGGTGAATACCTAACAGCAAAGATCTTGTTGATACTACCTATAATTTCCCTGTGACATTTGCACATTTAGGGGGAAAAAACATAGTTTTAACAGCAATGAGGAAATGGAAGGCTGTTAGTCCTACACAAGTCCTACACAAGAGAAGTCTGCAGAAAAGTACAACTTCACTAAAAGATTGGACCTCCAAAAAAAAAAAAACAGCCTTTGCAAATACCCTTGCCTTCCTAGCCTAAGCTTTGTGTAGGGATTATGTCTAACCATAGTACTGGCCTTGCTCTGGTTTGGGATTTGTAGTCTCACTGTCTCCAGGGTCCAGTAGACCTCACTCTAGAAAATAACATATAGTGACTTCGCTTCTAAGGACATCTGGCAGAAGCAAAGACAAATAAATCTTCCCTGGAGGAAGGAGCACTGAGAAATGTTTACAGATGAAGCTTGACTCCTCCCTTCCAATCTTGAGCTTCCAGTACCAAACCTCTAACACATTAGAGAACAATTTATCATAAAAAGGAGTCAGAAGAAGCAATAGAGGCCTCAGACAATGAAATAACTCGACAATGTTTACACAATAAGTATTTTAAATGTTGCAAAACTATAGAATTGAATTAAAAATAGGATAAGTGAATAAGAGTATATCATAAAAGATACAAATATTAGATAAACAATAAAATATTTGCAGAATGGGCAGAAATAAAACACATAACCCTTGACATAAATATTTATATTAGACACAGTTGGGAAAAATTAGTGAACAAGAAAATAAATCTACAGAAATTACTCAGAATATTTCCTAGAGAGAAAAAGAAACATATGGAAGAAAGAAAGATACATATGAAAGAAAGGTTAAGAGACTTGAAGGAGAGATAGAGGAAATCCACAGTTCAAGGAGAGGGTAGAAAAAAATGGCAGAAAAGCAATATTTGGGAAAACAATTTGGAAATTTCCCAGTATTGATAAGAACCGACAGTTTGCCAATAGCAGGCTTGCGCCTGGAACTAAAGGATGTGCTTCCAGAAAAGAAATTGTACTCAATAATGAGATGCAAAAAGAAGGGTGGAGAAAGAACGAGGTATGCGTGAGTAACCCTAAACAAATAATGACTGTATAAAGTGATAATAATGGCAAATATGATTGATATAAAAAGTTAGATGCCTCTAGAACACTGGAAGACAATTGCATTTCAGATGGGAGGGAGATCACAGCAGATGGTATCATGAAGTCCTGTGTTTCTCGGTATGAGGTAGGTCAGCGTGCTGTATTTGTGGGTGAAGAAAAGCAATCTCTTTAGTGCTTTTGACACTTTTCCACAAATTCCATTTCACCCACATCTTAACCTGGCAGGCATCTCTTTACTGTTTGAGAAACCAGACCTTGCTCTTTACAGTTTCCATAAGGCTGTCATGGTCATTACTCTATTTAATCTTCATAGGAAAATCACGGGAGTTAAGGCCATTTTAAACCCCCCCTCCTCCACTGATAAACCAGCTGTGTTCTTTGAAAATATTTGATACAACTCTAAGCACTGCAAACTTCACATTCTGGAAAGTGTGTTCAATCCTACTAAAACCTATTACAATCCATTCAAATGCACATACCCTATTGGAGTAGGGTGGTATAAATTCACCACTCTGGGTAAGCAAATCTTGCTTTTTAATTTCATTCCCTGTATTTTCTCCCCACATTTTCCCACTTAGTAATTGTTTATAAATTCCAGGTAGAACATGCTCATTTCATGTTGGCTTTTCTTAGCAATTCTTACAGTAAATGTAGTGTACAGTGTAACTACCCTGTGCCATTTAGAAATGGGTGGGATACAATATGGTAAGTTTACTCTTTCCCTCAATGTAATTCAACATGTATTTAATAAAAGTAGGATATTCCTGCATAAAAGATGAATAGAAATCCCCCGTGTTTTAAGATAATTTGCTCTCTTCTTGAGAGTACAAAAGGGTTTTCTCCAATGTACATTTTGCTCATTTTTATATCTTCTGATAAATTATTCTCATGTCATGCTGAGAAAACTTCACTTGTCATTTGAGCAAGGAAATCAAAAGTCATTATAAATGTCTAGCATTGAAACCATCTTTCTTTCATTTCCTGACATTAAATTTTAATTAGAGAATATTCTTTTAAATAGCCAATATTTTATGAAGAGAAATAACAAAAAAGAGGACCGTTAAAAAACAGCTAATGTTCTAAAAAAGACATCTGATTAGTGGGCACCACTTCTTTCTGGCACATTCCAAAGATATCCACTGTATTTGGCCAGTACCACAATAGATTATAGAAAATCTATGCTGAATTACCATAATAGGATTTTTATCATTAATACTGTCCAGGTATATTGATTAAATTATTTGTTAAATTCTCCAAATCATTTTAACCATATGAACCAAGTTGACAAAGAGCTTACCATCTAAAACATAAAGTACATCAGAATCTGGATTTATCTGACTCAGGTTAATGAAAAGAGTGATAAACCACACCCTAAACTCTTGTCTTTGAAAGAAGATATAGCCTGTTACCATCGCAGAATGGACAAGTACTCTCGAGAAATCTTCATGTACACTGGCCGACTTGTTTGCCTGCATTGCTTCCTACCCAATGGCCATGCCACGTGTTCATGCATCAAGGAAGAGAAAACTTAAGAACACAGATTTGGGAAGGATGCAAAAGTGAGAGAACAGGTGTGGACGTGAGGACACGGGGAATAAATGAGAAAGAATGTATCCTAAGAGGACGTATTGTGTGGTCAGAGCTACAAGTCTGGGTGTTTCTTCTCATCAGGCATCATTGAGAATAAGCCTCCTTGGTCACCTGCTCATCCTGTGTCTATCCATTCCCCCACCACCCCACCCTGTCCCTTTCAAATCTCCTGGAGGGGGAGCTGCACGCATGGACAGGGTGGGGCAAGGGAGAGGCTGGAGCTGTCTCAGCTTCGTTTTGCTTAATCAAGCCTCCTTTGACTATGCTTGCCCAGTTGCATGTGCAGTGGTATTCAGACCTGCTCAGCAGGTGGATGAGTCTGATCTTAGTATTCAATCAAAAACTACATTTTTGTTCTTTTGACTCTTCTTCACTGCACAGGGGTAAAAAGTGTGGAGTCTATCAGTCAGCTGTTAGACAGCAACCATTTTAGATGGATCCGTAATAGCCAATCAAGAGATGACAATCTCCCTTTAAAAACTGACAGGTACAAAAATAAGACCTGAATAATTCATGGAGAGAAGGTGGATAGCCTTGGGTTAGCTGATTGCTGATGCACCCTATTCCGTGCTGTGCTCTTGGCTTCACCTTCTGATGTGGCATCCACATTATTTTCCCAGGGCTGCTGCAACAAAGTACTGCAAACCGGGTGGTTTAAATGATAGCAGGGTATTCTTTTCCATTTCTGGAGGCCAGCAGTATTATTGGCAGGTCCGTACCTACTCCAATGCCTCAAGGGAAGATCTTCCCTTCTCTCTCCCAGCTTCTGGTAGGCCTCAATGACCCTGGATTATGGCAGCGTAATTCCAATCTCCACCTCTATCTTCACATGGCCATGTTCTCTCTGTGTTTAAGTTTTCCCTCTTCTTACAAAAACACCAGTCATGTTGGATTAAGGGCCCATCCTACTCCAATACAACTTCATCTTAACTACTTATATCTTCAATGACCCTATTTCCAAATAAGGTCACATTCTGAGCCACTGGCGCATTAGAGCTTCAATATCATTTGAGGGGACACAATTGAATCTATTATAACATCTCAAAGCAGCTCATTCCTTGCCTACCTCAGGTAGCAACAAGCTTAAAATAAAAGAAAGAAAACTGTATCTATGGTTCTTTGCAAGTGTAGGGAGTGGAGGGAGACCTTCTCACTATGGAAAAATATTTCAAGGTATATAACATTTCATATTGGATGATGCAGACCGCATGAAATCATTGTGCTCCTTAAACAATCCCTGAAGGTCCAACCATACCAGCAAATGCTGCAATATAAATAATATTCACAAAGACAGGTGAGAGCTATTGCCTTACCAGGGGCTGGACTCATGGCTGTTAGAATGAGCAGCAATGAGTATTCTATTCACTCACTTTGGCTTTAAATAAGAAGCCAATTTTACGCTTAAAAATCGCTGAGTGCATAAACACAAACATATAGAAATCTGGAGGGAGGCTAAATTTTACACAGTCTACCCACCTGCTGTTTGAAATAAGAGTGCTATAGTTAATGTAAATTACGTGCAAAGAATGCAGATTGAGAAGATTAGAGAACCATCAACTTAGTTTGATCAAATGATACAATGTGCTTGAAAGTAATTTAATACAACCATAGAGCATTTCAATGTTTCTTTCTTTGGAAGGGGACTTTTTAAAATTTTATCAGTTTCATACTATGATTTATCCTTCTCTCCAGGGTTGTTCATACTGTGGAGTTTTTCTACAGGTTAGCGTAAGCTTGAGCAGTGTCAGTGACAGGATGTCTCCCCACTGGTGCATGATGATTTCTCCTACAGTGTCCCACATAGCATCAGGTATGTTCACTCAATACATACTTGCTCACTGCAAATATTTAGAGAAGTGTATTACCACATTGCTGTTATCGGAAATTTCTCGTTGCAAAAATTAGAAGATTGCTAACTACAAAAATCTCATTTTGAGTATGGTATGTTGACACAATTTGCACAGACTAGGCATTAGAATGTGACTCTGGGTCATCTCACACGCCAGGAAGTTTGGCTAGCCCCTTCTTTCTTCCCAGAGAGAAAGCACCTCTCCAAGGGGGAAGCAGATGTGAAAAAGAGCATGGAGTTCGGGCTGTGGGAACCACGCCGGTGAAATACCCACCTGAGGCTGAGTCTTCATAAGGTAGTTGCCTTGACCAGTCTTTTCAAAAGTCATTTCTTATTTCCTTCATTATCTCCATGGTTATTCTACATATCCTCGTCTGGCATCCAACACACATCTTAAATCTCATATTCAAATATTGGGTAAATGAGAGGAATTCCTTTATTTTAATCCTCAGTACTTCCTGAACATGCAAACCTATTAGTACTATAAAAATTAATGCCTATAAGTGATATTTATGTACAGGTATTAAGAATAATAATCATGTATTATTCTAGTGTGGGTTAAAGATAAACAGTGTTTGATAAATATTTGGAAAAATCTAAGAGCAATAAAACAAGCCTCAAATAGTCAGATCAGAGGTTCATCTATAGGCCACACTCTTCCTAAAATGATATGTATTTTTTAAATAGTTATAGGATGAGAGTGGATTAGAAAATGGTACTCCTGTAAAGCATATATTTTCAACGATTTCCTAAGAAACTAACCAACACGACGTAGAAAGTAATAATCACATGAATTTATTGTAAGTATCCTTCGAGGTCAGAAAGAAGGGTAGAACACAAGTTCTTGTAACACTGGAATTGGAATTCCAGGATGGGGAATGTGTTATGTATCTCAGACGCAGAAGGGAAAGAAGCCACCACGTACAGAACGGTGAAGCCTCTGGGTCTACTCCCAAACACGAGCATTTCCCCCAGGTCCTGCCAAGCTCTGCAAGATGCTATTGAAGAGATGCTTCCCATAAAGGACCAAAGAGCAGTAGTACAGTGAATATAACCTCAGAAGCAATGTCCACAACTCAGTGAAATTTTTCAAAGCATGACACAGCTTGGCCAGAGCTCCTTAGGAAGCCACAAGGTCAACTGTTAATCATGAAAAAAATTTTAACACATTCAAAAGATATAATAAAATTTACAATTCAACCCCCAAATCAAGTACTAAAAAGATCAATGAGCTGATACACATGTACAGAATTATTAGTGCATGTTAGATATCAGGCAAATTTTGCTTCCTTGACATCAAGTGTAAGCCCATATTTAATGCACGCAGCTCCAAAGGCTGGTTCCCTAATATCGGCTCCAAATTGAGACCACAAAGTCTTCTTGGATGAAAGATTTAGAATGCCCTCAAATCTAAAGAGTGCAGACTTAAAGGTATACTGCCAAAGAAAGGTAATGATTTCTCAGTCTCTCCCACTTCAAAGCCATACCCAAAGGCTCTGGCACCTTCCCCTTCATCATCCAGGAATCTCCAGATCCACGTGCATGACCTCTGATGCGGAGCAGCACTCAATCCATAACAGCTCCACGAACAGGGAATACATGGATGAGTCTTCATTAAGATTTAAACATGAAAAGACATGTTCCCAGCCCTTTTGTGAGCTTGTGCTTTGGAGGAGAAAATACAACGAAAATTCTAGAAAGCCACTTTACTAAATGTATATGTTTTTATAGGCATATTTTTTTAAAATCAAGGTAATAGGAAATCCATATTATCATTTTATAAAACTTTAACTTACATTTTTTTCTGACTACAAGTATAGGCACAGTGTGAAAAATCTGAAAAATAAAAACTAGAAAGAATAAAATATAAATCCCACATAATTCCATTACCAAGGATGAACAGCTGAACACCAGAGCTGACCATTATTAACATGTTTGCATATATCCGTCTATGCTTTTTTCTACATATATATAGTATTTAGATAATTGAGATTAAACTGTTATTTAAATAGCTTTCCATTCAGCTTATTTTATTTGATCCTTTTATGAGATTCATGTGCTCAATGAATATTGTATGAATGTTGCTAAATTATGAGTGGCTACCTGTCATTTGAATGCTTTAATACATCATTTTAATACTGTGTAATAATCCATTGGATGGGTATATAATAATTGGATTAGCCTATCTGTTCTTGAGTGTTTCTAATATTTCACCATTATAATTAAAATAAGTTTCCAAATAGATATTTTTCTGCATTTCTAATTATTTCTTTAATACAGTTCTCTCAAGGAAAGTTTCTGTGGTCAAATCTATACTTTTTCTTAAAGAAAGACATCAAACTGATAAATTCATGGAATAGTCAAGGCAGTTGTTGGGTGGTTTAATGCAATGACAATCTTGTGGGGGTCTAAATACAGCAGTGAATTCACACTTATCTACTTCACCTAGAATATGAAGATGAGGCGAGATAAAGATAAGAACAATGATCTTTATTGCTTACTACAGTCCAGGCATTTTTCATATTACTTCATTTAATTCCCCTAACCCTTTTTATTAGTTGAATGAGAGGTCTGAGTTTCAGCAAGATTGCATAGGTTGAGGACCAAGGTCATACAATCTAGGCTTGCCTGACTCCCAATGCCACATTCTTTCTTCCACATCAGACCAGATGGCTTTTATACAGTCAGGATGAAAAATAATAGAATATGAACCTGCACTCAACAGGCTGTCAGAGTCTCTCAAGTCTCCATACATACACAATGCATCTGACTGCGTTTTAACCGCTTCCAGAGCCCTGGCAGCTATGTCTGGGAATGCAGCTTTTTGCTTCCCTGAGTCTTCAACCAAGGCAGGTAAACCAGAAAGAAGTGGAAATGCAATATTGAGCCACACAAACCCTGCACAGAAGTATTTACAGAAGAGTGAGAAAATTCTTCCTAGCAGGGCCAAGCTATCTTTTCCCTAGAGGGAGCCTTGATCTTGGGCTGAGGTTTTGGATAATGGATGAATATCACCTGGAAGACAGGGGAGAGGGAGATTTTCAACACTGAGAACTGTAGAACCGAAGGCATACCAGTTCAGACTTGGATCCTTTGTGTGTAATTGGGGAGTACTAAGAGAGATTAGGATAGAAATACAGACAGTCTTAGATGGCAGAGGGGTTTAAAACTTTAATCCCAGGATCTTTACTGTATGTTAAATATTTCCCAAGGGAACTCTAAGGAAAATTTATAAGGAAGTAAAGGTAGAATTAGGTAATTTTTACATGGTTAATTTGAGTGGTCAAACAATGTCGTTTGATACAAATATACTGTGTTCAGTCAGTGTAATTGACGAAAAACATTGGCAAGATTGTTATGAAAATTCTAACTTCAATAAGAAATGATAGCATTGTATTTTAACTTCTTCCTCCCTTTCCTCTCTTGGCTGGTTCCAAAAATAATTTGATGTGGTGCAGTATTTTTAACTTGAGAAGAGACTATTAGGGGGCATTCTTTATTTTATTTTATTTTTATTTTAATGAAAGAAAATGAAAGTCAAATTTAAAGACAAGAAATTTCTGCCTTCAAAGGTCAGGTCTATTTTTACTTTCCTTCTGTATTTTTTTTTTTCTTTTAGATCAAAAATTTGAGTCTCTTTGGTATCCAGCTGTAAAATGACGCATGTTTTTTTTCCTACCTGGAGACTGTAACATTTTCCTATATTTTAGGCTAAAAGGGTTGAGAGCAATTTGTAAATTCATTCTTTTAGGAATACTAAAATTAGTTACAATTGACTTATGAATATAATTTGGAGATTTGGGTGTAGATTCCATAGTTGCCTTCGCAAGGAATGTATCTTTGATTTCTTTTTTTTTCTTAAATCACAAAACTTAAAAAAAAATCAGAAATACTGAGACCTTGCTATTGGTTTTGTTTTCTCTTTATATTCATGAACACAAAGAAAATGGGCATTAAAGCAATTTTATAAAAAAGAATCACTTTCCATGGACAAAGTCTATTAAAGATTTTTTAGTGTTCACAGTTCATTTTAAATTTATTTTCTATTTGGCCCTGGAGTCCTCTCAGGGAATGGATTGGGGAGAAAGACATTGGCATTCACACAGTGACAGTGTGACCTGATCATTTATTTGCCAAGCCTTATTAAAGCCCCTGAAATCACTCCCTGCCACGGCCCTCACAGCCCATCAGCCATCAGTTCGGAATGTCAAATCTGATTACAGTGTTCTCCTGCAGCCTCTTCCAAGCCTTCAGCAACAGAAAGCTGACTTTATGCCTGTGCCTACGGAAGCGGGTCCCATGGAGGCTCCAACTCAGGGCAGCTCATTTTGCTTCTGAACCGCCGACAGGGTTCCTAAATCGAGATGACATTTACCATTTTATATTTTAATTCACTAGAGAGATTTTGTTTACTTCCTCTTCCTTGCTACTATGTCTCACCAAAAGATAAATTCAAATTCCAAAATAGTATATTTAGTTCACAAAAATATGCTAAAATAATGTTTAAATGCCATGCAATTGCACAAGAAAACTTCACTGATTGTCAACCATAACGGGTACCAGAGAAAAGGGATTCTTCACCATCACGCCAACTTCTGAGAAAATCCTAACTTTAGGAATTAGCCAAATTCAGTTAGATTGGATTTAGGGCTCGTTAATATCTACTGTAATGGGAACGGTTTCCCAACACAAGGAGGCTGTTGGTTTGTTGTGGAAGTTTCAGCTCAGTAATGGAGGGTGAGCAGGTGAAGAATATTTCAGATGGGGGGCAACTCACAGTACACACGTGCAGTGTTCCTGAGCTGGGTGCCCACCAGGAACGGAACACTTAACTGGAAATGGTTGTGGCCACTGGTCTGTGAGGAAAATACTGGAGAATGCAGGCCCCTAAAACACTGCTACCACTACTACTACCGTTATTACCCCTACTACTGCCACTGCTGCTACTACTACTACTACTACTACCACCACTCCTACCACAACTACTACCACTACCACCATCTACCACAGCTACTACAACTGATGCTGGCCCAACTGTCCTATAGAATTAATGTTTATAGTTTCTTTTGAATAAACATAGAAATTGACCCTCCCAGTCTTACAACTTGACAAAATTACATTTGTCTTATCTAAGTCCTTTTCTTAGGAAACTAACCATGAGGGCCTCCCAGATAACATCAAAGAACTGAAACTTCCCAGATCACCACATCTAGACAGTGAGGTACCAGACCCTCACCTATCATGATTGCCTAACTGACCACCTGCTTCCTATTGACAAACTCCTTTTCCTTACCCTTCCCTAATTCCTGTTTTCCCACACATGGTTACATTGCTTTCATCCTATAAAAACCCCAATTTTAATCAATCTGAGAGATGGATTTGAGACTGATCTTCTATCTCCTTGGCTGCAGCACCAGAATAGTCTTCTTCACTGGCAATAATCATTGTCTCAGTGATATAGTTTGAATCTGTGTCCCTGCCAAATCTCATGTTGAGATGTGATCCCGTGTTGGAGGTGGGGCCTGGTGGGAGGTGATTGGATCATGAGGGTCACTCCCTCATGAAGGGCTTCGGCCATCTCCTTGGTGACGAGTGTGCTCTTGCTCTGAGTTCACACGAGATCTTGTCATTTAAAAGTGTGTGGCAACTCCCTCTCACTCTCTCCCTTGCTCCTGCTTTCACCGTGTGACATGCCTGTTCCCCCTTTGCCTTCCACCATGATGAGAAGCTTCCTGAGGCCTCCCAGAAGCTGAGCAGATGCCCAATGCCATGCTTCCCGTACAGCCTACAGAACTGTGAGCCAATTAAACCTCTTTTCTTTCTAAATTACCCAGTCTCAGGTATTTCTTTATAGCAATTCAAGAACAGCCTAAAACACTCAGTGATTGGCATTCATGTGGCGAGCAGTAGGACCTAGACTGAACCCCTAGTGTTTTGGCAACACTACCAATACTACTGTTACCACTGCTGCTACCACTATTACTATTGGCGGTACTACTACTACCACTATTACCACTACTGCTACTATCACTAATACTACCACCACTACTATGCTACTACTATTACCAATACTGCTACCACCCCTACTATCATCACTACTACCACTAATACTACCACCACCACTACTACCACTACCAGTACTTCTACTGCCACTACTTTTACTATTATTGCTATACCATTATTACCACCACCATTACTACTGCAACAATTACCACCACCACCACTACTGCCACTAGTTCTACCACTACTCTAAGAGCACCCGGAGCATTACTCCTTGTCAACTTACACTTTTGAGAGTAAGCTTGTAGTTTAGGAGGCTGTGCTGCACACAGTACCTCATTAAGGATGTTTGGATTCTGCTGGCTATTGCTGAAAAAACTTACCTAAATTCCCTGGTCCTGGGCCTGTCTACAAACTACGGAATCTTCATGCTCTGGGCACTTATACACTCTTAGGGGACATGTCACTTTGATTCAGACATTTTAAGAAGTGACCCAATGTTAATGGTTCCTCAGTTATTCTGAGCATCCTGAAGTTCAAGGTCCCCTTAAACATGACCTTGTCCCAGATCCTAACCTACAGCCCGGATCCCTTTTGCAGTTGACTCCAAATGGTTCCCAACAGACCTTGCAGTTTTCTCCCCTGTGCTCACTCACACCATTCATTTCCTCTTCCTAAAATGTCAAAATACCCCCAATTCCCTATCCCATGTTTAAAATAATAAATAACTTGCTTGCTGTCACACAGATACAAAATGATTGGAGCTGGACTTAAAATTAGCCTCTAGGGCTCTACAGTCCCAACACCCTTGCTCTGTCTGCTCCGCTAACTTTGGAATTATGCATACACACTGAAATCTCCACTGTGAAATTAGAAGTTTCTTTCCTTTCTTTTTTCTTTCTTTTTTTTTTTTTTTTGAGATGGAGTCTCACTCTGCCGCCAGGCTGGAGTGCAGTGGCATGATCTCAGTTCACTGCAACCTCCACCTCCTGGGTTCAAGCGATTCTACTGCCTCAACCTCCCAAGTAGCTGGGACTACAGGTGTGTGCCACCACACCCAGCTAATTTTTGTATTTTTAGTAGGGACGGGATCTGCCCACCTCTGCCTCCCAAAATGCTGGGATTACAGGTGTCAGCCACCGCACCCAGCCTAGGAGTTTCTTTCTAAGAAGAGGCAATATTGTTTTCTTTGTATCTCCCATGTAAGTACTTGTTGCTTGAGGAATGAATGATTCAGCCAAATTGGGGTCCAGACCAGGTGCAGTCACTTACACATGTAATCCCAGCATTTTAGTAGGCTAAGGCAGGCAAGTAGCTTGAGCCTACAAGTTTGAGACCAGCCTGAGCAACATAGCCAGACCTTGACTCTACAAAAATAGAAAACTTAGCTGGGTGTGATGGCACATGCCTGTGGTCTCAGCTACTTGGGAGGCTGAGGCAGGAAGACTGCTTGAAACTGGGAGGTCAAGGCTGCAGAGAGCTATGACTGTGCCACTGCACTTCAGCCTGGGTGACAGAGGAAGACCCTGTCTCACAAAACAAAACAAAACAAAACAAAACAAAACAAAACAAAACATAGGAGTCCAAAGATTCCATCTACAAATAGCTATTTCACATTGATTTTGAGAGTATGGGTGGAAAAGGGTTTCTATATTGGAAGCTGAGTCACTTCTAGTTCCTAAATATCTTTAGAGTTCTTTAGGAAATCCACCTACTTAAACTGGAGAGCCTGGATTGTCAATTCCTGTGTGCATGCTATCTGATTTTATAAAAGTCTTTATATTTCGCTGTGTTTCAGAAAGATATTTGAGATAATATCCATCAAAATTCAGAATTCTAAACGTATCTTCTCTGCATGTGCCTAGATTGGACCAACTTCCTAAATCTCTGAGGTCAAGCATCATATTAATTTAGTTACTGCCTAGCAATGTGCTCAGCAAAAAATGCTGCCACGGTTTCTGTTAGAAGCTGCTTATTCATTCATTCATTCATTTTTATTTAACAAGAATTTATATAAACTTAGTAGTGACAAGTATGCCTTAAGTGCATTATAAACGTTGACTCACATAAACCTCACACTGCCCTTAAGAGGTACGTAAAATAATTATATCCATTCCTTTTTGTTTTTTGTCTGATGTAGCAAGTAAAACAAAGTAACAAAGCAATGTTGCTGCTTTTTTCTCCTGTCCCTGGATTTCCCAGTTCCAGGGAACATATTTCTAAATTTTACCCATATGTGGAATGGATTCTTCAACAGGATTTTTAACAGAATCCTAGAGGAAAAACAGCCACAGGGAATCTGTGTTTGAAGCAGGTGTCATGGTCAGCATTCCCCAGACTCAACCTTTCTCCCTGTTCCGGGAGCACCTTCCTCCCGTGCAGCAGGTCTCAGGGCCCCTTTACACTTTTCCAAATTATTGGAGACCATAAAGAGGTTTCATTATGTGATTTGTAGCTATTTATATTTAGTGTGGTAGAAATCTTAAAAGATTTTAAAATATGTATTTATTTTAAAAATGAAATAGTAACCCCATTACATTATTTAAAAATATTTTAATGAAAACATTGTATTTTCCAAAACAAAAAAATAGCTAGAAGAGTAATATTGTTTATATTTTCATAAATCTTTTTAACGTCTACCCTAATAGAATGCTCAATTCTCATATCTGCATCTGCATTCAGGCTTTACAGAGATATGTAGATGGAAAATAAAGGAGTGTTTTAATAGTCTTTGTAAGTAATTGTGAATATTCTACTGAGGTAAGTTTTTTTTCTTTCTTTCTTTTTAGACAGGGTCTGGGTTTCTTGCCTAGGCTGGAAGGCAGTGGCATGAGCACCCAGCTAATTTAAAAACTTTTGTTGTAGAGACAAGGTCTTGCTATGTTGCTTAGGCTGGTTTTGAACTCCTAGCCTCAAGCAATCCTTCTGCCTTGGCCTCCCAAAGCTTTGGGATTACAGGCATGAGCCGCTGTGCCTGGCCTTCTGGGGTAATTTCTTAAAGGTTAGTTGGAATGGTATTTTCATACTCTGTTATGTTAAAATTGATTGCCCTATCTTGAGCTTTAAATGGATCTATTACTAATGCATGACTTTTGTAACATCATGCATTAGTCATTTATAGTTCACTGAGTTATGCAGATCTTTCAAATGTTGACAGGTTTCAATATATAACACTAAAAAATCATATTTGTTAATATAATCACTGATCTCATCACAAAAGTTCTTTAAATATTGGGAGGCTGTCAAGTACATAATGGTGGATACAGTTTTTCCACAATTTGAATTTTTGTTTGAAAAATTTTACCATTGAATCAAATACTGTTGGTTATTTTCCTTGAAGTAACAGGATCACCTTGGTTCATACTTTGAGAAAATAACTGTCATCTGTAGTCCAAATTACCATAGTTTTCTGTCCCTTGTTCCGCTAAGTAAAAGTAACAGTAACAGGAAAAGTAACTTTTTTAAAGTTCTATTAAGAAAAGGATTATTTCAGCTTGCAGCTCAACCACTCAAATGCTTTTCCTCAAAATAACCACACTTTATGGGAATACATTTCCTGTTTCCTCACAGAGGCTATTAAAAAGTCATATACTCAAGGGTTGAGATAAAATAAAACTAATAATTATATGGCTGCATAAAGGATATTCTCAATAAAATTGGATTTTTTTTTCTGTTAGTGTGTAGCAGTGAAGAATATAGTACACTATTTACACAAAACAAGTATAATTGGATCCCGCAGCCTTGACACCTGCTGAGACACCAGCAATTTTATCCACCATTGCAGATGTCAAAACAACAAAGAAAGTGAATGATATCTCAATATTATCTTGAAAGTAGTTTTGACCTTGCAAATCCCTAAAGGGTCTTGGAGACCATCAAGCGTGCAGGGACCACTCCTTGAGGACTGTTGCACTTTGGCATTGTGATTTAAAATGTGCTGCAGATGGGATAATCATATGTTACAAAGGATATAAGGAGAGTAGACAGGGATGGTATTCTTACAGCCATGTTCCCACCAGGGTCAAGAGAACAGCACAAAGCCCAGCCCAAGCCAGGGCCTTCCAAAGGGGCCCCATGTTCCCCTCTGGAGGCTGCTGACCTGGAGACCTGCCATGGGCCCGTCTTGCCAGCTCTCCTTCCTCTTTCTCCAGAAGTCGGCCCAGCCTTGCTAGCTATATTTTACACCCAACTGAGCAGAGCAACACTGGACAATAATCAAATGTTTCCCCCTTTTAAGTTCCCCGTGTGGTTGACAGGGAACATTTATGATTTCTAAATGGTCAAGTAAAATTTATTCTTATTATTCTTATTCCTTTTTTTTTTTTTTTTTTTTTTTTTTTTGAGACAGAGTCTCGCTCTGTCGCCCGGGCTGGAGTACAGTGGTGCCACCTCGGCTCACTGCAAGCTCCGCCTCCTGGGTTCACGTCATTCTCCTGCCTCAGCCTCCCGAGTAGCTGGGACTACAGACTACAGGCGCCCGCCACCACGCCCGGCTAATTTTTTTTTGTATTTTTAGTAGAGACGGGGTTTCACTGTGTTAGCCAGGATGGTCTCAGTCTCCTGACCTCGTGATCTGCCCGTCTCAGCCTCCCAAAGTGGTGGGATTACAGGCTCGAGCCACCACGCCCGGCTAAAATATATTATTTTTAAGACAAATGGTATTAGATTCCTAAGAAGAAGCTAAGCTAAGAGTTTTTACCTCTCAGATCATTAGAACAAGTATCTGCCTAGGGAAAAAGTAAAGTTCTAGAGATCTTAAATGTGAAATTATTTCTAAATGGAGAAATAATGATTTTTTCCACGGGGAGTAAACTATCTATATATTTCCAAGTGATACTGCTTTTCTTTACCTAAAGTTAGGCAGACTGTGGCTCCTTGTAGATAAACAGGATTAAAAAAAATGGCACTTAACTCAAAATTGACATTGTCTTTTTTATTTGTTTTTTTTTTTTTAATTTATTGAGAGGAAGATTTAACAACAATTTCTTGAAGGAAAAATTCAATTGATTCTGAGATACATTTTAATTTTAGGTTTAGGAAGTCAGGTTCTCATTATACTAACCATTTTTTGACCTTTCAAAATACAAAGTTTTAAGGCTTAATTTTAATGACATATCAAAACTCAGAGTAAGGCAATAGCTATCAATAAATTATTTCTTTGTATTACTTAAGAGAGACAAGTACAGGAAAAAATGAATTAACACAATTGAGAAAATTTGGAAGCAAGATTATACCCCCCCACCCCATAATTCATAGTAATTCCCTATTCTGGCTCATTTAACTATTTCCCAATATCCTTCACTAGACACTGAAAGCAGGCACTTCCAATAACATGCCAACCTTGTATCATTTCTATCAAGCACCAAAGCTGACATCATGTGTGCTTAACACGCTCAATGATGTGGAATGATTAGAAAGGACATAATTATTAAAAGCATCACTATATATTTCCAGTGATCCCTTGAAATATTAAAAAGGAAAAGGTATCAATGAACTAGCATACTTTAATGGAGAATGTACATTTTAAAAGAACAATTTTTTAATGTCCAGGTGATTAGTAAATCTTTTTTTTTTTTTTTGAGACAAGGTCTCACTCTGTCACCCAGGCTGGAGTGCAGTGATGCAATCTCAGCTCATTGCAACCTCTGCCTCCTGGGCTCAAGTGATCCTCCCACCTCAGTATCCCATGTAGCTGGGACTACAGAGTAAATCTATTTTACAAAGAATAAATTAAAGACAATGCCCAGTGGAATTTTCTTTGGAAACCTTAAAATCAGACTTGTGGTTTAACAAACTATGCCTTATACAGCCGATTTCTTACATGGGTGGTTTGGCAGGCTAATCATTGTCATCAACACACATGCTTACATACATGTATGCAAGCATGCATGTGCACACACACACACACACACACACACACACACACAATACACATGCCCTTCTCTCTGTAGAGCCATAAATTTCACCATGAGGCTACCAATGACAAAATCACAAAAGAAGATAGTTGAGCCTAAAATGTGATAGAAGGCCCTAGACTTGAATGGCTGATGAGGACATTATGCTCATTAATAAAGCTTGAGTATTGAATGTGCCTGTGACAAGCATACAGCAGTTAAGTTTTAAGTGTTCAGAACATTTGATGAAGAAAATATCTTAGAAAATAATATGAAAATCAGGCATGTCTGTTTCCAAATCATTCATCATCATCATGATCACCATCATGGCTACAACTTACTGAACTACCTGTTCAGCATTGTGCCAAGAAACTGACATAGATTATCTATGTTAATTCCCTTTTTAACATAAATGAGAAAGCCCTGAGATGGACTGCTGTGTCCCTTGCTGACTCTCTTATTTCTCTCTTATTTCAGACCTATAGCTTACACTTTTCCTGTCTTCTGTGAACACAAGTTCATGATACTGCATTTAACAATTGCCTCAATAAAGGTTAACTTCAAAGGGATTCATCTATGGTACAAACAAAATGCTGCTACGAGGCACTTTACATTTGCAAAATGTTCTGGAAATGTACATAAATAGCAAAGTGAAACAGTTAAGATACTGTTTCAGATTCTGTGAACCAAGAGGCGGTTGGAGATCTCTTAGATCAAAGATTTTAGAGGAATTTTGGACAATTTTGCAAGTGATTTCCTAAGATCCAGTCTCTTGACTAGTTATAAACAATTGTGTGTTCACTGGGCCTCTTGAGGGCAGAAGAGCAAACATTAAGCACAAGGCTAAAAGGGTTTCCTTGGAAACCTGGTGTTTCTTTAATACAGCACAAGTCCCTTAACACGTCACAGATTTTCCAGGCTCCTCCTGTGTGTCTCTGAAAAACCTGCTCTTTGAATTGCACTTAAATAAACACAGGGAATAATTCCACTTTTAGATATCCTCTCCGGAAAGTTCTATCATTGCCAACACTCCATTTAACACATAGGGCTTGTCATACACCAGGCTCCAGGCCAGGGGTTGGATATAGAATAGTGAGTGGAGGAAGGCGTGGTCCCTCCTTGACTGGAGCTCACTGTGCTGTCATCCTCTAGGAAAGTCTCCTCAGTTTGCACTCCTGGCACTGTTTGCTTCAAATTCATTTCCATTTTGATTCAATGGATGGATCATCTTTCCTAAAATGACTGATATTCATGAGGTCAGCAGGCACACCCAGTAACAGACCTAGGCAATAGATTCTAGGATCTCAGAGACATATGAAATAATTTAGTGTGGTTACAGCAAGGCTTTTAATTTGCTTCAGTACAAAATATGTATTATTCAAGTTGAGCTATTTTGGTTTTTCAACTGGGCAGCTGGCTCCCGTATAACAGAAGCCATGAAGTATGGGAGATGCAAAGGTGAATGGGACATAGCCCATGGCCCCCAGGAACTGAGAATCTAGTGGCGTATATTGTCTAGTAAAAATAATAATTTTCATACTGAGTGATGCTTATGTTCTGAAAGCACTGAGCAGAGGTAGACCCTGGGAAAATGTAACAGGGTCTTTCATGCATTAAACTGGGATCAGAGCAGCCATCTTACCATATTATCCCTCTGAGACCTTGTGTATATAATATCTATGCATGCACTTAGGAGTTGAGCAATTTATCAAGACCTAGCATTATATCCACTGGTGCAATTTTGGGGGTAAGCATTAGTGATATATGCTAAAAGTGGTCCCCAGTAGAAAAGCCACATGGCATTGGTCTGGGCAAATAATTTTTGTGTATTTGACCCGAAAAGCACAGGCAATAAAGGGAACATAGTGAAATGGATGATATCAAACTAAAAAGCTTCTGCACAGCAAAGGAAATAACCAACAGCATGAAGAGACAACCTACAAAATGAAAGGAAATATTTGCAAATCATATATCTGATAATATCCAAAATACATAAGAGACTCAATACAATAACAAGAAAGCAAATAATCTAATTAAAAAATGGGGACTGGACTTGAATACTTGTTTTATAAAAGATGATATATAGCCGGGCACAGTGGCTCATGCCTGTAATCCCAGCATTTTGAAAGGCCAAGGCAGGTGGATCACTTGAGGTCAGGAGTTCAAGACCAGCCTGGCTAACACAGCGAAACCCCGTCTCTACTAAAAATACAAAATTTAGCTGGGTGTGGTGGCGTGCACCTGTAATCCCAGTTACTCAAGAGGGCAAGGCATGAGAATCGCTTGATCCTGGGAGGGAGCAGTTGCAGCGAGCCGAGATTGCACCACTGCACTCCAGCCTGTGCAACAGAGTGAGACTCTGTCTCAACAACAACAAAGAAAGATGATATATAAATGGCCAAGGGGTATATGATAAAATGCTCAACATTGCTGATCATCAGGGAAGTGCAATTTAAAACCGCAATAACGTATCACCTCATACCTGTTATAATGACTATTTTCAATAAGATGAAAGAAAACAAGAGTTGGTGAGAATGTAGAGAAAAGGGAACCCCTATGAACTGTTGGTGGAGAACATAAGCTAGGACAGTCACTATGGAAAATGGTATGGAAGCTCCTCAAAAAACTAAAAATAGAACTACCATATGATCCAGCAGTCCCACTAGTTGGTATTTATCCAAAGGAAATGATATCAATATTTGAAGAGACAGCTACACTCCCATATTCACTGCAGCATTATTCACAATAGCCAAGATACAGAATCAACCTGTGTCCACCAAAGCATTAATGAATAAAGAAAATATGTATAAACCATGAAATACAACTCAGCCTTAAAAAAGCAATGAAATCGTGCCATTTGAAACAACATGGATAAACCTGAAGGACATTACGCTAAGTGAAACAAGCCAGGCACGGAAAGACAAATACCACATGATCTCACTCATATGTAAAACGTTTTTGTTTGTTTGTTTGTTTTTGAGACAGGGTCTGGCTATGTCACCCAGGCTGGAGTGCAGTGGCACAATCTCGGCTCACTGCAACCTCCACCTCTCAGGTTCAAGTGATTCTCCCACCTCAGCCTCCCAGGTAGATGAGACTATAGGTGTGTGCCACCATACATGCTAATTTTTGTGTTTTTTGTTCTTCTTCTTGTTGTTGTTAAATTTTAGTAGAGACAGGGTTTCACCGTGTTGGCCAGGCTGGTCTGGAACTCCTGACCTCGAGTGATCCACCTGCCTCGACCTCCCAGAATTCTGGGATTACATATGTGAGCCACCGCACCCAGCCTCATAGGTAGAATCTAAAAACTTGAACTCATAAAAGCAGAGAGTAGAATGGTGGTTACCTGGGGCTGACAGGTGGAGGGATTGGAGAGATACGAGCTAAAGAATATAAACTTTCAGTTAAACAGGTGGAATAAATTCAAGAAATATATTGTACAACATAGCAACTATAGTTAATAGCAATGTATTGTATACCTGAAAATCATTATAAGCATAGGTTTTAAATGTTCACACCACAAAAAATGAGTCTGCAGTAATATATATTTTAATTAGCTTTATCTAATTTAGCTCAGTTAGAATAAATTGTGTACATTTCCACATTGTATATATATTTCAGAACAGCATGTTGTGCAACATAAGTATATACAATTTTTATGTGTCCACTAAAACTAAATTTTAAAAAGAGAAGGTCTCCAATAAATCAGTCCTCTCCATGTCAACAACCCATTTGTGAGACAACTTTGCCTTAACTCCCAGATTCAAGGGTAGGGACTCTTCCTGCCCCTTAAATCTGGGATGGCTTTGTGACTTGCTTTGACCAATAGAAAGCAATGCAGGTAATGTCCTGGGAGATTCAAGGTGACCCTTTGGAGGTCTTTCAAGCTTCTAATTTTGCTCAGGTGGAACCCAGCAGACATAAGAAGGAATCCAAACTTCCTAATATAAAGAGGGAGGTCACATGGAGGGGAGACCCTGGAGGATGAGACACTCCATATAAAGACAAGGGTCATGTGGAAGAGTAGCGAGGCTCCAGAGGTCTGCAAGCCCACTCATTTGGGCTGTCTCAGCTGAGGTTCTAGACAGGTGGGAGGCCACTTTTGATTCTTCAGACCCAGTCCAGGTGACAGCATGTGAAGCAGGGACAAGCTGCCCTCCAGAACCCTGCTCTGCTTCCTGTCCCAAAAACTTATTAATATAAGCTGTACAATGATGTTTATCTTGAGTAATAACTTTCTGGGTGATTTGTTATGCATCTCTTAATAACTGGTTATAACCCTTCTGGGTGTGAACCAGATCCAGAGGAATATCTTGATGGTTCCTTATCTTTCAAGGAGCCCATCAAAGGAACTTAGCTCTTTATAAGGCTCGCTGGCTACCTGGTGGGTTTACACAGCACTACAGAACTGTGTTCACTGTGTTTTAACAACAGAAGATATTACCCATCTTTGCCTGAAAATAGGTTTGTGTTGCTACAAGGAGGCACAGAATTATCTAAGCCCTGGGTCATCTCGGTGCCCAACATGAAAACAAAGAATATATTAAATAAAGAATGAAGTACACTAAGCCTAAATAATTCAGGGTTAGCATTGACAATTTTCATTGATGACGTGGATGATGAGAAAGAAAGAATGGTTACTAAGTTGGAAGGTCTGTGATAGGGTGGGGGGACAGGACACTGAAAAGCTGGAATTTAAGGTAACTTATTAAAATAGATTATCATTAGAATGGGAAACCATACATTCTGGAAATGTTGAGCTTTAAGGGCTTGAAAGGCTATTGACAAACAATGTGAAGGGACATGCTGGTTATGAGACATTTGCTGGAAATTGCCCTACGAGATCATCTGGGCATCACATTCAGTTTGGGGAACACATTTAGTGAGGAGCATTGACAACCTGAAAATTGAATATCTTTTATTTCTGACACAGCAACAGACATTCATCAGTCGTAAGTTGGCATTGGTTCTTGTAGGTTTCTTCTATCCTAAGATTTAGTTACATCATTTATGGATATTCAGTAGGCTTTGTTTTTGTCTGTTGATGTGCCCTCCATTTTCCTTCCCCGAGCCCACTCATTCCTACAGGAGGGATGATGCAGTACCCCTGTCTGACACACAGCTGGAGTGACGTGTTCACTCACATGTGCAGTGCAGTCACTGTGTGCCCCATGATGCCAGTCATAATTTTAAATGACATAACTAGAGTTCGTAGGCTAGTGTGATTCCGATAAATGAGACATTTATTCTCTAATAGGTAGCAATCTCCAAATAGTCCATTTTTAGTATGTTATGAATGGAACTAGAATATTATCATCTGACCTATCCAGGTGTTTAGGTAATGTGTGGTTATCTTTTTCTCTGAGAAATCACTAAATATTTATTTGGATAACAATTATAGTTCAATATTAATGCTTACAAAGAAAGAAAACCATTAAGCCTAAAGAATAATTTAAATACCTAAGGGTGTATTTTCAAAACTGCTCCCAAATACATAGTCATAAAAACTGTACAGTAAATACTGGCAATACCTTTAGCTTCTGAGTATTGAGAGCTATGGCATTAAAAAGTTCCATTAGAATGTAATTTGTATTTTTAAATGTTACATTACACTATAATCACTTCCACATTCAGCCTTGATTAAGAAAGTCCCTATTTTCCCTTTTATCTTATGCAACTTGAGTCATGGTCAAAATATATGAAATAGTGATTTATAAATTTGGAAAACATGCAGGGAAGCCTGAAATAAGGAAAGCGAACAAAGTGAAATCTCTGCTTTTCCAGAGATGACCCAACCAGCCTGATGGTCTCTTCTCTGAGTTGAGAGCACAGTTTCAACGCTGAAGAGGCCACAGAGCTAGAATGTAGGAAAAAGTACTAGAGGAATCCTAGTGAGAGGTGGACAGATCCTGAGTTTTACAGAGGGCCCACCCCTGTCTTTTATTGAGTTATTCTGATAATGCATGTGGGAAGATTAGCCAAGGCTACGGCAAGAACAAGAATCACTGGAGCTCATACAGAGGTGGGAATAGTTTGTATCCCTGCAAGTCAGTGAAAGTATGTCTGAATATTTGAGAAATCAAGTAGAAACCACAGAATTGTATTAATATTACCTTAGTAAGGGAGCCAATCAGTTCTAGACTGGAACCATGCAAACAAGAACTGTGCAAACAAGGCTTAAAGCAAGGCTTGATGGAATCATATTGAGGCCAAGTAACTCAACTGCATCCCAGTAAACTGTCCAACAATATTGAAAGAAAACTAAAAAATCCAGCACCCAAAACATAAAATTCAAAATGGCTGACATCCACTAAACAATTACAAAACATGTCTAAAGCAGAAATATGTATATATTATATAAAGCAAAATTATATATATGGAGAAAAATAAATCCATTTTAACAGTCCAAAAAATAAAGAAATGAAACAGATGATAAAATTAACAGGCAAGGAAATTAAAACACGGATCATAAATATGTGCCATTTTCAAGAAGGCAGAAAAAGGATAGTATAAATGGAAATAGAATATAAAAATTAAACCCAAGTAAGACTTTAGAAGATAAGAAATTTAATATCTGAAATGAAAAATTATCATTGGTTGGGATTAATAGGAAGTTGGGCAATGCAGAAGAAATCATCTGTGAACTCATAAACAACAATAGAAACTACACAAAATGAAATACGGATAGAAAAAGAACCAGATAAAAATGAACAAAGCATCAATGACTTGAAGTGTAATATCAAGCAGTATAGAATATGTGCAATTAGAGACTTAGGGGAGGCAGAGTTAGGACTCCTATCAGAGGAAAGAAGAGATAGAACAGAAAAAATATTTGAAGGGAGTATTGAAATAAATAGTTCCAAAGTTGATGAAACTATAAAGCCACAGATGCAATAAGTACCGTTAATATTAAGCCAAGGACATATGAAGAAAACAACACCGAGATGCATCATTATCAAACTGCTGAAAGCCAGTCATGAAGAAAAAAATATCTAAAGGGGCCAGGGTTAAATTACGAACAAATGAAGACAAGAAAGACAAGATTTTGCCATGCAAACCAGAGACAATGGGGTGACACTTGTAAAGTTTTCAAAGAAAAACTGTTGATATAGAATTCTCTATACAGTACAAAAAAAAAAAATTCAAAAAAGTAAGTAAAGTTGAGTCTTGCTAAAACTAACCAAAGTAGAAAGAAGTCATTGCCCACAGACCTGCACTAAACTGCTCACAGGAGCCTTTCTGGCAGAAAGAAAAGAACATCAGAAAAAATTCAACCGATGTAAACAAGTGAGGAGCATGAGAGTCAGAAAATATGTGGTTAAATGTAACACCTTTTATTATCAGTTTTAAAATATCTTTAAAAGATAATTAACCATTTAAAAGATAATTAACCATATTTTGTGAAGTTTACATCATATGTAGAAATAAAATACACACAAAAATAGTAGCAAGTCTAGCAGGGGAGTATTGGAAATACACTGTAATAAGATTCAACAATATATGTGACCAGACTCAATATTACTTGAAGATAGACAGTAATTATATACACACACACACACACACACACACACACACACACACACACACACACACTGAATTGTAGGGGAAAACAAACAAGCAAACAATAACAACAAAAGAGGGGCAGAATAAGCCACGAATGGAGACAAAATAATGTTTTATACAATTAATACAATGAAATATGGACTTAATCCAAAAGAAGGCAAGAAAGGGGGAAAGATAGAACAAAGGATAGATAGGATAAGCAGAAAACAAATAGCAAGACTGAAACCCAACATTGTCAATAATCACACTGAATTTTGATACTGCAAGTATTTCAACTAAAAAGCAAATATTATCAGATTGTATAAAATGCAAGACCTAATCATATGCTGTGTAAAAGAAACATACTTTAAGTTAAGTCATAGAAAGGTTAAAGCAAAAAGATATAAAAAATAAGGCAAACAAAAAATCTCACATAAACACTACTCAACATAAGTTATAATAGCTAAAACCATTGATGTGAAATAGATATCAAAGTGATAAACAGAAAGACTGAAGAAGTGAAAATGAGAGAAGACACACATTACCAATATAAGTAATGAAATACGAGATGCCACTGAAGATCTTCCAGATATTAGAATAATAAGAGAATAATATGGGCAATTCTACACATACAAATTAAACACCTTAGACTAGTTTCTCATAAAACCACAAACTACCAATACTCACTAATATGGTTTGGCTCTGTGTCCCCACCCAAATCTCATCTTGTAGCTCCCATAATTCCCATGTGTTGTGGGAAGGACCTGGTGGGAGTTGTTTGGGTTATGGAGTTGGGTCTTTCGCTTTCCTGTTCTTGTGGTAGTGAATAAGTCTCACAAGATCTGATGGTTTGATAAGGGGAAACCCGTTTCATTTGGCATTCATTCTCTCTTTGCCTGCTGCCATCCATCTAAGATGTGACTTGCTCTTCCTTGCCTCTGCCATGATTTTGAGGCTCCCCCAGCCATGTGGAACTGTAGGTCCAGTTAAACCTCTTGCTTTTGTAAATTGCCCAGTCTTGGGTATGTCTTTATCAGCGGCATGAAAATGGACGAATACCGTAAATTGGTACAGTCCAGTGGGGTGCTGATGAAAAGATACCTGAAAATGTGGAAGTGACTTTGCAACTGGGTAACAAGAAGAGGCTGGGAACAGTTTGGAGGGCTCAGAAGAAGACAGGAAAATATGGGAAAGTTTGGAACTCCCTAGAGCCTAGTTGAATGGCTTTAACAAAAATGCTGATAATTATATGGACAATGAAACCCAGGCTGAGGTGGTCTCAGATGGAGATGAGGAACTTGTTGGGAACTGGAGCAAAGGTGACTCTTGTTATGTTTTAACAAAGAGACTGATGGCATTTTGCCCCTGCCCTAGAGATCTGTGGAACTTTGAACTTGACAGATATGATTTAGGGTATCTGGTGGAAGGAATTTCTAAGCAGCAAAGCATTCAAGATGTGACTAGGGTGCTGTTAAAGGCATTCAGTTTTAAAAGGGGAACAGAGCATTAAGGTTGGGAAAATTTGTAACATCACCATGCGATGGAAAAGAAAATATATTCTGAGGAAAAATCCAGTTTGCTGCAGAAATTTGAATAAGTAACTAGGAGCCAAATGTTAATCCCCAAGACAATGGGGAAAATGTCTCCAGGGCATGTCAGAGACCTCTGTAGCCCCTCCCATCACAGACCTGAAGGAAAAAGTGGTTTCATGGGCCAAGCCCAAGGTCTCTGTGTGCAGCCTAGGGCCTTGGGGCCCTGCATCTCAGCTGCTCCAGCTGTGGCTGAAAGGGACCAACATAGAGCTCAGGCTGTGGCTTCAGAGGGTACAAGCCTCAAGTCTTGGCAGCTTCCACATGGTGTTGACCCTGCGAGTGCACAGAAGTCAAGAATTGAGATTTGGGAACCTCCACCTAGATTTTAAAACATGTATGGAAATGCCTGGATGCCCAGGCAGAAGTTTGCTGCAGGGGCAGGGCCCTCATGGAGAACCTCTGCTACGGCAGTGCAGAAGGGAAATGTGGGGTCAGAGTCCCCACACAGAGTACCTACTGGGGCACCACCTAGTAGAGCCAAAAGAAGGGGGCCACTGTCCTCCAGACCCCAGAAAGGTAGATCCACTGACAACTTGCATCATGCATCTGGAAAAGCTGCAGACACTCAACACCAGCCCATGAATGGAGCCAGGAGGGAGGCTATACCCTGCAAAGCCACAGAGGCAGAGCTGCCCAGACCATGGGAACCCACCTCTTGCATCAGCATGACCCAGATGCAAGACATGGAGTCAAAGGAGATCATTTTGGAGCTTTAAGATTTGACTGCCCTACTGGATTTGGGACTTACATGGGGCCTGTAGCCCCTTTGTTTTTGCCAATTTCTCCTATTTCTCTTGATTCAATGCAATCCCAATCATCATCCCAGCAGGATATTGACAAACTAATTATAAAGTCTGCAAGGAAATTCCAAAGATACAGGATGACTGAAACAACTTTGAATAAGAACAAAGTGAAAGGATTTAGACTACTTGGTTTTAAGACTCATTATAGAGTTACCTAATCAAGACAGTATATTATTCACACAAAGATAAACATAGGGACCTAAGGAGCTGATTAGATTCTGAAAACAGACCCACACAGATAGAGTTAATTGGTTTTCAACAAATGTGCACAGGTAATTCAATGGAGAAAGAAAAAATTCAAAAAGTAGTGCTGGAATATGTGAACATACATAGGGGAAAAAAAACTAAGAAATCTGTATGGCCAAAATGGACCTCAATTATTGCTTCAAACCATATACAGAACTTAACTTGAAGTAGCTCATAGACCTAAATGTAAGAGCTGAAACTGTAATATTTCTGGAAGAAAACATTTAAGAAAACGGAAGTGACCTTAGGCTAAGCAAAGATGTTTTATATGGGACAAAAATAATTTGAGCTATAAAAGAAAAAATATTTATAAAACAAGTTACATCACAGCTGAAAACCATTGCTCTTCCAAAAATACGTTTAAGAAAATAAAAAGTCCAACTGCAGATTAAGAGAAAATATTTACAAAACATATATATGATAAGGGACCGGTATCTAGCACATATAAGAGTTCTTAGAACTCGACTATAAGAAAACAAAAGTCTTCTTTGCCATTTACAATGTGCAAAATATTTGAACAGATACTTAGTGAAAGGAGATATATGAACAGTCAATTAGCATATTTTAAATGTTTAATATCATTTTCAGGGAAATGTAAAGTAAAACCACAATGAGATACCAACGCATACCTCCTAGAATAGCTAAAATTAAAACGTACTGTGAAGAACTGAGACAACTAAACTTTTCAACTATTACTTGTGGGAATGCAAAATATTAATGAATAATTTACACTTTTTCCATGAGGTACATTTTGATATTGCTTAGTCCCTATTTTTCTCTTTCTTTTTCTTTAATGTTGGCCTTACAATATTAAATGTATTTCAGATCCTAACAATGAGTGCAACCTGCAGTGTGAAATACATTGATCCAGTTAGCTATATAGGTATGTCTCAAAAATCACAGATTATTATTATCAAAGTGCAGAGAATATCTCGAGTGAGTCATTACCTGCCGACATGAACCTGCCTAAGGCAACAAAGTGTTCTGATAAAGCACAAGGTAAGTCATCAGGTCTAAAAGCTAAAAAGATAATTTATCAAGACATGGGACAAAGGAAGGAAGAGCTATTTATTCATCTCAGCTTTATTCAGCATATAGATATTCACAAGTAACCAAGAGACAATTTTCTTACCCTCAATAAAATATATCCAAAGTTACATATAGCAGGATTTATAATATATGCCTACAACATTTTCCAGGATCAAAGCTACAGAAAGAAGGTGTGATTCCATGGAAACAAAGGAAGAAAAAGCCTGAGAAAAAAAGACCTGGAATTTGATTTGGACGTTTTTCACATGTTAGGTACTCAATAGAATGTATTTCTTGATATCAAATTAAAGATTATCATCAAACGAGCCTGATTTTTTCTAACAAAGCTCTGTATTTATATTTAAATGTAGGATACATGATTTTATATAGTTATAAAAAAAGAAAAGACAGATGGAATTTAACTGGCTCAATTTCTAGGACAAAATAGCAGTGCAACATGGCGGAATATAAAAGGGCACTGTCATCTACAGTCTCTTTAACAGAGCGTGCCAAAAGTTGGTGGCACCACTGTTAGACTGTTCAAACAACAAACAGAGCTAATATACTGAGTTATAGATGTATTTCAAAGAGAAATGAATATGAGGTAGACAAACTAATGAATGACCCAGGTCTGGATGGTCACTGTGCAAGATGCTGAGGAGTGAGACCAAATGTTTTCAAGGAGCACAGTTGCTTAGGAGACATTGTGATAATACTGGAAGAGAAATCTAGAATCCTGAAAGGACAAAAGAACTGGCCTAGGCCTGGACAGGGAAGTTGCCCTGGCCCTGGAGAAATCTGATCTGCAGAACTGCACAAATGCCTCTATCCCTCTAAGGGAGATCTCACACCCTGGCAAGGTAATTGCTGTGAGGCACCATTTGCACAGGCTCCCCAGGGGGCCGGTGGGACCCTCTTCGAGGGTCTTCTCATCCTTATACACTGCTTCCCCTCTCTAAACTCTCCCAACCCCTGCCGCAATCCCTATACACACCTTCCCCCAACTCTCAGGACGGCACCATCATGTCATGCATCGCTGTCATCATTATCCATTTTTATTAATGACACATAGGTTTTATAGCTCAGATTTTCTATTTTTAGGCAGAAAAAAAGGTTGGGAACTACAGGCACACAGGATTACTTCAAACTTCCAAAATAGGCAAAAGAGGTTATTTGCAATCTAGACTTCATCAGTTTTTCTGTGCAAATATATTTTTTTCAATAAAATGACCTGCACACTTGGACATGATGTGAAAAGTCCTGCCTTGGCTGGACATGAGGGGATCCCCTTTTTCTGGATTGGACACATTTGATTTAACGCTCTGCTTCATACCTGTCCTTCAAGGCTCTGCTCCTGCCCACTCCTCTATTTCTTTGTGGCATTTTTCTGACAGCCCATCCTGCATTGGTTTCTCCCCTTTCTGAACTCCGTTACCCTTATTTGTACTGATCGCTTGACCCACTGTGCTCACACACAGATTATGTCTTCATCTGTCTGCGTGTTTTATCAATAAAGGAAGGAAAAGCCTCGTAATTATTTGTAGAAATACCCTTGGTTGCACTCTGTGCCTGGTAAGTTTTTGGTGCTTAATGGATGCTTGTTGAAGTTATCTAATAAAGAAAATGGACATTCCTCTTGCCATCTCTTGTGTAAATGTTGTCATTTTGCCAAAATAAGCAGACAAAGAGTTTGGAGACAAGAATAGTCACTGTATTTCAAGACAAAGCAAGAGCAAAATGAAAAATGACAGGTTTGTAGTTTCAGCAATTTGGGGAAAAAAGTGAGCTATTTGCAAAAAAAAATTGTAGGGATTGATATAAACTTCAATTGAGTTGATAGAATTATTAAACTAAAAGAAAATAAGGATCCTATAATAAAAACTTTAATAAAATTTCATGAATGATATGTCTAGGAGAGGTATTATACTACTCTCTAGTGGTTGGATTATAGAGCAAGATGATTTCAGAATTAATTTAGGATTTTTTTAGAAAGATAAAAACAGAAATGTAAATAAAATTTAAAATCTCATTCTTTCATGAACATTTCATGCCCCCCAAAAATGCTTTATAATTTCAAAATTCAAGAACATCTCATGTAACTAGCTATCATTACAGGTGAAAATCAAGGGACTCTGGAACGTGCAATGCTCCTTCAAATTTTGTCATCTGAAAAGGTGACATTGGTCTGATTTGGTTGAGGCATCTGACTATATCTGTAACTCTGACGTCCATATTTGCATTTCCAATATGACAACTCCCAACTGAATAGGAAATTTCCTAAAATTTTCCTTTAATAGCATTGTAAAGTTGTTAAGGTTGCGTGAACATCTATTTTTATCTCATTTATTTTCATTTTTTATTGCCAATATATAATATTTCATACAGATTTAATTTTATTATTATTATACTTAAAGTTTTAGGGTACATGTGCACAATGTGCAGGTTTGTTACATATGTATACATGTGCCATGTTGGTGTGCTGCACCCATTAACTCGTCATTTACAGATTTAATTCTTTTTGAGCAGAAACCATTTTTCAAGACAATAAAGGTGAAGAAATAAGGTAATCTTTAAATAATCATTATAAAGATCTTGCAAATTGATGGTAAATTTCTGAGTACAATAGAAAATACATTAGAATCAATTTCAGAAACATGAACACAAGTTAATTGTTGTGTCTAATGTGTAATATTGCATTTGATATTTGATGAAGAAAAATAGATATACAGAGCCATGTATATGTCCATATTAGACAGTAAATAACTCATATTTTATCTTATTGCTATAGTATGGAATTTAGCTATAATAACCACCCAGATATTTCCGGTCTGGTTCTAGATATATAAAGCAATTTAATTCAGTTTAACTTAGCAAATTATAATCGTTGTGCTTAGTTAATATTAATCACAAGAAAAATTAAAAAATCCCTTTCACATAAGTACATCACTTGACATAATAGACATGAAGAAAGGATCACAATAACAAAATACAAAAAAAAAGTTGTTTATACAAATTATCTCATTTATTTCTAAGAAAAATGCCTGTCCACTATCATGATCCTCATGTATAAACGGGGAAGGTGAGGCTCCAAATTATGAAGCCCCTTGCCCTCAGTAACTTTAAGGCAGCCTCAAACCTAGACCTAGTGCGTGGATACACCTGCCCTTTCTTCTATGCAAAAGTTCCTCAACAAAAGGCAGATTGGAGAACTTCCTTGGAAGTAACCATTGAAGTACGATAGGGGATTAGAGGGGTGTAAAGAACCTTCATGAACATGAAGCCAGAGTATCAGTTGTGTTCGGCAGGAGATTTCAATGCCATCCATTGAAAGCATTGAGATTCAGTGTTATCCATTGTGTTTGGCAGGAGATTTCAATGCTCAGATTCTGGAAAACTGTCTGGGTGGGAAGACAGGAAAGTAAGGCTGGCCAGAGGAAAGGATTCAGTGAACGTCCTCTAAACTTTGACATGGTATCTGAGCAAAAAATCTTCTAAGAGTTTAAGTTTTGACCAACCAATAAGTTTTAATTGAAATTCAAGTTAAAGATGTGGATGCTGAAAAAAACTATGATATCTGTAAATCCAATTCATATAGTTCTGCAGCTGGGAACGGGAGAATTTTGTAATATTCCAAGGAGGGTGTTTAGGTTATGTGAGGTGAAGATTATGGCCACAAGAACATGGGTTTTACTGGCAATCAAAGCAAGCCTTCTTTTGCTCAGGATTGCCGGTACTGAAGGGCAAAAGTAAGATTGTTTAGCAAACAGTAAAAATTAGTGTTTTAGAAAACATCTAATTAATTATCACAACATAAACCAAAAAGGAATTTTGTATGTGAAACTAGAACAATCTGCTAAAATGAGGGGATAGGCTAGGATGTGAATAAACTGGATAGATATGAAAAAACATGATAAATGAATTAAGGACTGAAAACAGTAGAATAATGCATAAAATTGAATTAGTGGGGTAAAATACAAATACAAACTATAAATGTTTCACAAAAATTTAGAGAAAAAAAACCCCTGATAGAACAATTTAAAAACCTATGAACTGGACATGAATATTCAACCTATTTTTTTCCAAAAATTCCAGGAATTCAGGACACAGAAAAGGAAATAATTAAAGAAAAAAATATATATCTATTTTGAGATGGAGTCTCGCTTTGTCACCCAGGCTGGAGTGCAGTGGTGCGATCTCGGCCCACTGCAAACTCTGCCTCCCGGGTTCACGCCATTCTCCTGCTTCAGCCTCCAGAGTAGCTGGGACTACAGGTGCCCGCCACCATACCCGGCTAGCTTTTTTTTTTTTTTTTGTAGTTTTAGTAGAGATGGGGTTTCACTGTGTTAGCCAGGATGGTCTCCATCTCCTGACCTCATAATCCGCCTGCCTCAGCCTCCCAAAGTGCTGGGATTACAGGCGTGAGCCACCACACCCAGCCCAGAAAATATTTTTTAAATGTATTCAAGAGTTCATAAAATCCTGTGTTTTCAGATAGAAAAATTCATGAAGTATCCGAAATATTATTTAAAAGAGAAATAATTCTGAAACATATATCAAAGAATTTTGAAATATAGGGGTAAAGAAAGTTTTCTAACTGTGCAGGCTGGTAAAACAGGTAATTTATACATGAAAACACTGGGTTTCATCATCCAAGGTCAATGGAACAGAATATGCACCTCTCTGAGCAAACTTCTATACCCAGCCATCTTATCTTTCATATATGAGGGCAAAGAAAGAGATTCACCCAGATTCAAGGTCTCACCAGCTATACCACTCACATATAATTTCTGGGAAAAATTACTCAGATACATCTTCTAGCCTATCAAAAGAACTCAAGAATGTATTGCATAACTTAATCTCAGCTAAACATAAATTATGTCAAAAGATATGATATGGTCATGAAACCTAAAATCAATTCTATCATTGTCAGCATCATCATCACCATGTATAAAGTCTCACATTATTGTTATTGGAACAAGGAACTGACTAGAAAGAATAAAAAATTAAAATTATATAAAATTACCCACTTTATACCCAAGAAACCCATAGATACTTTTTTATTCTTGGCTTTTACACCTATAAAAAAGTTTGGATAAGTATATATAAAATTTAAGAGTAATCATTAGAACAAATACTGAAGGAATGCTTTTGAGTCATTAGAGAAAAAGTGGTTATGAAAATGACATATTAAGGGACTGATAATATAATAAAACAAAAAAATTAGGCACAAAGCAAAATACAGTAACAGGATACCAATTGTGATAGCTTTGTAGCTCAAGAAAACTCATATTTTCAAGAATATTGAATAATTTGATGAGATAATCACAATGTAACACTGGTAAAATAAGCCCGGTGAGAAATTATATATAAACAATGCCAATTTTCATTTTTAAAGTAAGTCTATAGATATATGTGAAAGACTAAAAGGAAACAGTTTGACATGAATCTGCGCTTGAGTGTATGACTCAAGATCTATGACTTGGGTTCTGGATTTCGTTTATCTTTTCTTTATCCGTATCAAAAGCCTCTACATTTGCTAAAATCAGAATGCCTGGTATTTATAATTCAGAAAATCAGCTTTTGTTTTCAAAAGGTGGAAGCCACTGAAATCCTGAGGAAAACTGAGGGAATCAAGTCAAACTTTATGGAGCAAGCAGGAAGGTCAGGATTCAGGAGAGTTGGTTTGAACCAAGTATCTATGGTGTTATGGGTTGAATTCTGTTTCCCCAAAATTTGTATGTTCATGTCCTACCACCAGTATCTCAGAATGTGAACTTATTTGAGAATACTGTCCTTGCAGATGAAATTAGCTGAATGAGGTCATTAGAGTGAGCACTAATCCAATATGCCTGGTATCTTTATACAAAGGGGGAATTTGGACACAAACGGACATACAAGAATGCCATGTGACCCTGAAGGCAGATATCAGATGATGTTTCTACAAGCCAACAAAATGCCAAAGATTACCAGCAAACGACCAGAAGCTACGATCAAGGAATGGAACAGATTCTCTCTCAGAGTCCTCAGAAGGAAGAACCCTGCTGATACCTTGATCTCAGACTTCCAGCCTCCAAAACTGGGAGATGATGCATTTCTTTCGCTGTAAGCCACTCACTGTGTGTGCTTTGTGATGGCAGACCCAGCATACTAAACTAATATTAAACTAATATAGAAGCTTAATAAGGAGAGTGCCTGGGAGCAACAGCCTCAGGCATAGTCTTAAAAGTGTCACCTTCTCACCTATATTTACCATAATATGTTAACCTGACAATTGTTTCAGCCATGAAGAAAGACAGAGGAATTGATGTGTGTTCAAGACTTGAGAGCCATGGAGAGGAGCTGGTATCACCACTGCCTGCAGCTCAGGCCCATCACTGCATCCTTCACTCCACCATTCCTCACCTGGATTCACCTCACCCCTGACGTTAGAACCTGAACACGCCTCCGAAACTGGTGAGACAGAGGAGAGAAACTAAGCATACAGTACCTGTCCTGTCTTGTCAAAGGGAAGCCTGACCTTCGGTAAGCATAGTCATAGGCAAGGGGAACCCAGCCTGCTCAGAAAGTGCTGCATGAGTTCATTCTGCAAACTTCAGGGCACTTCTTAGCATGCTCCTTTTTGAAGAATTACATTTGTGCTTGTGGGATTGGTGTGGGACACTAGGCTAGAAAAATTTGGATATCAAATACATGTGCTCTCATAGGAGCTGCCAGCGCTGTGTGTTTTGAGGTGTATGTTGAAAAATAACCCTGTCCCAGAGCCTTTCTTTTACTGCCTCTCACAGTCTTTGAATTTCCGCCATCAAGGGGCATATCTTTGGCTCTCAGGAGAGATAAACAACAGTATTATCAATCACCATTTTAGCAGAATTAACACCTGAGAGGCGGAAACCAAAATGGACAAAGGAAACAAAAAGTACTTGGATTTTAAGACAAATATCTCCATGACTTTCTCTCTGACAGTGTTGAAACAAATAGCTCCTTGGGAGAGGACATTTCTTTTCCCAGGTGCCCTGCAGGGGAGGGTGCTTAGAAGAGGTCTACAGAGCCAACCTTGAGAAATGTCCTATAGGGCTGTGGTTTCCCTGCCTAAGACAAACTGAGAATGAGGAGGCTCTGAGCATGTAATGCATATGGAGGAGACAGAAAAGGCTCTTTTAAACTGAATGCCTCATTGACACAACTGCTATCTTTCTATAAACTTAGACAAGGGATGGCAATTATGAGCATATCCACTGATGCATGTCCTGCTCATGCCCATGGCAGACATTGCTAATCAATTACTACACTCTTTTCTAGTGAGCACAGATAAGACTTCAGAATCCTTCTCAGTTCTGCATTCCAGGCAGTCACTACCAGTCAGATGGAACTGACATTCAAAATGTAATTTATTTCCAGTCTTGGCCTTCGAGGGCATATACCCTAAAAGTCTAAAAGGTTCGTTGACATATTTGGATATTTTAATTTTATGTGCCTGGATAGAAAGCTTTGTTTTAAAAGTTGGTGGCCGAGCACAGTGGCTCACTCCTATAACCCCAGCACTGTGGGAGGCGGAGGTGAGCAGATCACTTGAGGTCAGGAGTTTGAGACCAAATTGGCCAACATAGTGAAACTCCATCTCTACTAAAAAAAAATATATATATACAAAAATTAGCCGGTCATGGTGGTGCATGCCTATAATTCCAGCTACTCAGGAGGCTGAGGCAGGAGAATTGCTTGAATTCAGGAGGCGGAGGTTGCAGTGAGCCAAGATCGCGCCACTGCCCTCCAGCCTGGGTGATAGAGTGAGACTCCGTCTCAATAACAACAACAAAAAAGTTGACATGTAAAGTCTATTTTTTAAAAAATGTATATGTTGTTTTTCTGGATTTTCAATAACAACTTGCAAAAACCACATTTTTAAACTTCCTCCATATGAGGCAGCCACAAAACCAAAATCTCTTTGCTGCAGGTTTTTCCAAGAAGTAAAGGTCTTGCAGAAAATCATACATTCAAATATTCCATCAATGTAATAGGTAATCAACCTCAATAAAATGTTCGTCTATCCACATAGAATACTATTGCCTAATAAGGTCTTTTACTAAGTAATTATAACGACACAATTTTATCAGTAAAGGTTAAGTATCTTTATCTGAGCAGAATCCAATGAAATTAGTCCTGATGTAATAAGTACCATTTGTCACTATTAGAGCTAGAGGGGTTGACAGGCTTGGATGTCTCCCTGGCAACCCGAGTGTTCCATTTCTTTTTTCTGTAACCTTAGACACTAACAAGGCATAAAAGTCCAGAGGGCATAGAAGGTATCGCCTGGGTAATTTATGTACCCTCTTCTGACTTTGCCAGGCAGTGGCATATGCGAGCATCTAGAAGCATTTTAACAGCAAATATATTCATTCCCAAAATTTTGAGTCACGATGAATATTTTGAACAGAAGTATTGTATTAATGTAGGTAGGTTTTCATTAACAAGGACAGTTACTAATTTTTAACTGACTCATTATCCACAACGAGAGAGAGAGAGATTGAGAACATGTATGTAAACGGTGTTACAACTTCCTAAACACACTGCGCATGCTCACCTCCCAAGGGGAAGGAGGGCACTGCGCATGCGGGAAGCTCGTCCTAAGCGAAGAGTCATGGGAAAGGGGTGCAAGACACCTGAAGTGGGCCAGCCTACAAAGTCCTAGGATCAAGGTTAAAGATTGCACTTGTCCTTCAAGTTGCCTGCTTCAGTCTCTTCCAAGTGTACTTCCCTTTCTTTCCTGTTCTAAAGCTGTCTAAAATAAACTTCCACTCCTGCTCTGAAACTTGCCTCAGTCTCTTTTTGTGCCTTATACCCCTTGGTCGAATTCTTTCCTCTGAGGAGGCAAGAATTGGTGTTGCTATAGAGCCATATGGATTCGCTGCCGGTAACTCAGATACCATCCACCAGTAACACATGTGGGCCATGATCAGTGATGTAACAAAATTAATTATGAATGGCATTTCATAGATGTTCCTGCTATCAGTCTTAATGGGCAGAAATCCAAGAGCGGAGGCTGTGAGGGGTGTGGGGAAGAGGGAGATGCTGGATAAACATTTAGAGAAATATTACAAACAAAATTTTATATTTCCTCACTTTCCTATTATCCTTTCTCTTTTTATATATAGCTAATATCGGTTTTCCACTTTAATAAATAAGCTAATATAAAAATATGATTTCTAAAAACAGGAAGGTAAAATTTGAATTGTCCTATTTTTAAATTTTGCAAACATCAATACCAAGATTTGGAACACTGTTAATTTGCAGATAGCCTAGCAGCATGACGTACCTTTTAAAACAGATTTCTTTTATTTTCTAATTTAGAAGTCATGGGATAAATTGCGTCCCCCCAAAATTCATGGCAGACCCCTAACCTGCAGTATCTCAAAACATGGCTTTACTTGGAAATAAGGTCTTTATAGTGATAATCAAATTTAAATGAGGCCATTAGGATGGGTGCCAGTTCAATATAAGTGGTGTCCTTATAGAATGGAGAAATATGGAGACAGACACTGACACCCATAGAGGGAACATGAGGTAAAAACACTGGAAGAAGCCAGCCGTGTGACTGGCGTGATGTCTATAATACAAACCAACAAGAGCAAGGCTTGCCAGCCAGCGCCAGGTGCCGCAGGAGGTGAGCAAGGACCTCTCCAGAACTGTCAGGGAGAACATGGCCCTGCAGACACCTGAATTTTGGAGGTGTAAGCTCCAGAACTGTGAGAGAATCAGCTTCTATTGTGGTCATATGTTATGGAATCCCCAGGAAGCTCACACAATTTACTTCAGATTAAAGATAAAAAATCTATTTCCAGAATATAATCAAAGGTTCAACAACGATATGCCTGAGGACATGACATTCTGGGAATAGATTATATTCTGGAAATAGCTTTCTTATCTTTAATCTAAATAAGCTGTGTGAGTTTCCTGGGGGTTTCCACAAAAAATTATCACAACAGGCCAGTCGCACATGTAATCCCAGCACTTTGGGAGGACAAGGTGGGCAGATCACTTAAGTTCAGGAGTTTGAGACCAGCTTGGCCAACATGGTGAATCTCCTCATCTCTATTAAAAATACAAAAAAATTAGCTGGGCATGGGGATGGGTGCCTGTAATCCCAGCTATTCTGGAGGCTGAGGCACAAGGATTGCTTGAACCTGGGGGGTGGAGGTTGCAGAGAGCCAAGATTGCACCACTGCACTCTCTGTGACAAGAGTGAAACTCCATCTCAAAAAACAAACAAAAATTATCACAACAGAAGTTTAATCTCTTACAGTTATTGAGGCTACAACTCCAAAACAGAACCAAGGTTTGGGTTACATAAAGGAATGCTGGGATCAAAAAAGATAATGATGTAGCTGAGATTAAAATTCTCTTCCCGGCCAGGCATGGTGGCTCATGCCTGTAATCCCAGCACTTTGGGATGCCAAGGTGGGTGGATCACCTGAGGTCAGGAGTTCAAGACCAGCCTGGCCAACATGGTGAAACCCCGTCTCTACTAAAAATAACAAAAATTATGAGTGAGAACATGCGGTGTTTGGTTGACGAGTTAACGGGTGCAGCACACCAACCTGGCGCATGTATACATATGTAACAAACCTGCACGTTGTGTACATGTACCTTAGAACTTAAAGTATAATAATAAATAGATAAATAAGAATTTTTTTACCCCCCCCTAAAAAAAAAAACATACAAAAATTAGCTGGGCGTGGTGGCGGGTGCCTGTAATCCCAGTTGTTCAGGAGGCTGATACAGGAGAATCGCTTGAACTCCAGCCTGAGCAACAAAGAGCGAAACTCGGTGTCCAAAAAAAAAAAAAAAAAAAAACTCTTCCTTGTTCATTTCATAAACTTAAAAACAAAAATACAGCTTTTTTTCTGTTTTAGTATAATTCTAAAGAATATATTTACTTCCAATCTTATAGTTTCTAATCCACCTTCAGCATGTATATACACACACACATGCATGTGTATCCATAAACATATATAAACATACACATGTTAACTATATATGTTATATATGTGAACATGAATAAACTATGTATATATGGATATCTATCTATATATAATATCCTTTTGTAGGGGGCAGAATAAAGGACAATGAAGCTAAACTTTTCAGTAAATTTCACTTTGCTTGCTGGTCAATCAAGAGCTTCTCCAAATCTCATGTTTGATTGTTAAATTTGCACCTGTGAACACACATGGATTGGGGTCAGAGGGTGTGGCTGGCCCCATACTACTCCATTGGTAGCACTGGAAGAAAAGACCGACTCTGGACTGTATCCAGCAAAGCCAGGCACAATTGTCAGGGGCTTGTGCCCTGGGGCTAGCTAAGCAGGAGGCAGACTTCCTAAACTAGCCTGACTGCTGTCACAGTTAACAGAAGCTGCATAGATGGGTCTGCCTACAATGGTCACAAATGTTGTCACTTTACAAGATCCATGGACAGTTTGTTGGAAAACCTGTGCTGCTTCCTTTTCTCTCCATTTGTCCTTTCATTGGCCATTCAGTAATTTGGCGAGGTGGTCTATGGGCATTTTCACGAGTGGACGTTGCCTGCTGTGGGAACAGTTCACGGCATCTATGTGTCTATACTACTATGCATCTGTGACTACTTTCAGAAATAGGAAATTTGTCATCTCGTTATACATTCTAAATTGTTAAAGGTTCATAATGTAAATGGCAATATTAAAGTTGTCAAAGGCCACATTTCACTATTTATTTTGTTTTTAGATGTCAATGTCATAAAAGATAAGTGTTCTAGAGAGTACTATGACATGAGAGATGAAGAAAAGTACAAGATACTTTCCCAGAGGCATAACTCAAAGGGCTGGAGCCTAGGAAAGAGGCCCAGCAAGCTTTGTTGTGTGCTTCCTAGGAGCACCAGCTAGTGACCACAGCAAACATGACAATGGGAATGGTGTCATTTGGGCTGGGGGGTTGGAGCAGCACACACAGGACAATGTCCACAGTCATTCTCCTCAGTCAAGCCCAAACCGTCATCTTGGCTCACATTTGCTCTTTCTTCATTGGTACTTGGCTAACACTTTGAAAAAAAAATCTAGTGTGCAAGGGTACTATCCCTATTTGTGGGAATACTTATTACAGGGGGTATAATAAGCAGCTCCCTAGGTGTCAGCCCCGGGACCTGATGCTGTCAGCCGTCTGAGATACCAGAAGCTTGAGTGTTCTGATTCCAGGCTCACCAAGCAACCTTCTGGCCACAGCACTCTCTGCAATGAGCCTTGAAGACAGCGAGCAGGGCATACAGGAGAGGGGCCTAGGTGGCCCAGCTGACTGCTGCTCTGGTCATGGACCTGTCTGTCCCAGCTGACCAGACCACTGTCATTGGAATGGGGCTGTCTGTCCTAGCTGATCACTGTCCTGGGCATGAACCCGTGTGTCCCAGCTGATCACTGTCCTGGGCATGAACCCGTGTATCCCAGCTGACCATGGCCCTCGGCATGAACCCATGTGTCCCAGCTGACCATGGCCCTGGGCATGGGCCATTCATATACTGACAAACTCAATTGTTCAATAGGTTAATGGGAGCTTTGTTACCATGAACCAGAATTACCAAACCCCCTCCAATCTGGGTCAGTATCAGGATCGTTTTTCAGAGTCTAGAAGGCTAAGGTCAGACCTCAAGTAGAAGAGATTTGCCAAACACAATGCCCACCTGCAGTCAACATTCAGAATCCCTGGCCTTCCCTCTGTGAATGAAACCTCAGCTCCCTTATTGCTACCCACTTTGCAGCACTTTATGCAAAATCTCTACAGCACAGTAAACACAGGGAAAGAGTTAGGGAGAGGATAAGCTGCCCCATTGGCTTTGTCATTGGAAGAATGCTGCAGATTCTCATCCTGATGCATCAAACCAAACCAGACACAAGCTAGGGAGGCTATGCTCACGGCTGCCTGCCGCATGTGGCCTGGTGCTGCTATGTCTTCCTGTGAGCTTTGATTGAAGATGTCATCCAGTTGAGGTCAGTTAAGTATTGTGTTCTGGATGAATATCAGCACTGAGGCAGAAAGCCCCATTTTTTTAAAGGGAATTTCCCAAATGATACTGATTAATCAGCTGAATTTTGATCCTAAATTCTTCCAGACCTTGACCCATTATACTTTGTGCTACACTGTATCATCTTCGCTCTGGGAGAGCTCCATCTTTCTTGTCTGTCCTCACAGTCCAGGTCCAGTCTGATCTACTATGAAGGGGAATCTGCCTTTAAGTTTCTGAAATTTAGGCTTGGCATGTTCAACACCAAAGCTCATCTGTCTTAACCCTAATATTTTACCTGAGATTTACTTACTCTTCATTCTCCCAACAAAGGCGCTGGCCTCAACTGTGTGACCATGAGGGCAAATACTTTGTGTGTGTGTGTGTGTGTGTGTGTGTGTGTGTGTGTGTGTGTGTGTGTGTGTGTGATGGAGTTTTGCTCTTGGTGTCCAGGCTGGAGGGCAATGGTGCAATCTCGTCTCACTGCAACCTCTGCCTCCCGGGTCCAAGCAATTCTCCTGCCTCAGCCTCCAGAGTAACTGGGATTACAGGCATGCACCACCATGCCCAGCTAATGTTGTGTTTTCAGTAGAGATGGGGTTTCTCCATGTTGGTCAGGCTGGTCTCGAACTCCCAACCTCAGGTAATCCACCCGCCTCAGCCTCCAAAAGTGCTGGGATTACAGGTGTGAGCCACCACACACTGCTGCAAATACTATTTTATTATCAATTGTTGAACTGCAGTTATGAGTCTTTTATAGAGTCTAAGACAAGCAAAAACTAAACGAGAAGGCAGAACTATCTCCAAACAGGATATGCAAATTTACTAATTCCCTCTAGAGCAAATATCCATATTTAGTGTCGTGGGGCTGTGTGTTTCAGCTGGCCGCTGCCCTGGGCATAGGCATGTTGTGTCCCAGCTGACCACTGACATGATATCGTTCTACTTCCTTTATCATACAGCGACCTAATACACACACACACACACACACACACCATTTCATGTGACTCCTTTCATTTAGGAATATAAAATATAATGAAAGTTGCATTAGTGTATGAAAACTTTGCATTTTAGGTACTTTTTCAAGCATCACTGTAACCCCTTGCAGCATGGCACTTTTGACAGCCCCCACATGGCTACTGAGTACATACTGTATAGGAGGCTCTGAGCTTGCTAGGCAAGGGAGATGAACTGGCAACAAGACATAATCTTTGCTCTCCCATGGTGCTTAAAGTTGTATCCAAATTTTCAATGTTATTATATGGCACCAACAAAATATAATAATGTTTTTCATTGCAAACACAACTGCAGATTTCCAATTTTTTGCAAAATGTCTTTTGCAAAATATAATTTTAAATGTTACATTTATGGACTTTAGAGAGGCAGTATTGTATCAAGTTTTTTGTGCTTTTTTTTTTTTGGAGACAGAGTTTCACTCTTGTTGCCCAGGCTGGAGTACAGTGGCGTGATCTCGGCTCACTGCAACCTCTGTCTCCCGAGTTCAAGCAATTCTCCTGCCTCAGCCTCCCGAGTAGCTGGGGTTATAGGCATGCACCACCACGCCTGGCTAATTTTTTGTATTTTTAGTAGAGATGGAGTTTCTCCATGTTGGTCAGGCTGGTCTCAAACTCCTGACCTCAGGTGATCCACCTGCCTCAGCCTCCCAACGTGCTGGGATTACAGGCATGAGCCACCAAGCCCAGCCTGCATCAAGTTTTAAAGTGTGAACTGTGGACCCAGATAGCCTGGGCTCCCAGCTCAGGGCTGCCACTTGTAGTTTGGAAAGTTGTTAAACGCCCTTGTACTTCAGGTCCTTATAATGTCAGTAGAGAATTAAATGAGTTAATACAAACAAACAGCACCTGGCTTACTGCCTGGCACACAGTAAGTACTCATTAAGTGCTGGCTATTATTAAGTACTCCAGAATATGTTACTTATTTTACTTATTTGATAAACACTTTCTGGATTTTTTCTATGCTGGGCGCTATTCCAGATGGTGAGATGCAAAATATAATAAGACATGACCTCTTTCCTTAATGCAATTTTGGGTCATAGGAATTAAAGTTACTAATATCTCCTTAAAAATGACCAAGAAAAGAGCCTTCAGAGCAACTCTATTAAAAGTCATTAAGACCTTGTGTAAAATACAAATGAACAAAAAATAATTTTTCCTAATATCCAGTAATCTGAAGAGTACCCTCACACACATAGAGGGGGCTGGTCGCTGCTTGTCACCTCTTGCTAAAATCCAGCACTCTGCACATTGCATTTGATGGAGAATTAATCTTCATACCTTCACTCACAGCCTAGCTCAGTGCTATTTTAGGTACAGTTTTAGCAACACAATGTTTTCTACAAGTTGATGTAGAGACAGCTGTGATGGTTAATACTGAGTGTCAACTTGATTGGATTGAAGGATACAAAGTATTGATCCTGGGTGTGTCTGTGAGGGTGTTGACAAAGGAGATTAACATTTGAGGCAGTGGGCTGCGGAAGGCAGACCCACCCTTAATTTGTTGGGCACAATCTAATCAGCTGCCAGCAAATATTAAGCAGGCAGAAAAACATGAAAACAAGGACTGGCCTAGCCTCTCAGCTTACATCTTTCTCCCTGGCTGGATGCTTCCTGCTCTCGAACATTAGACTCCAAGCTCTTCAGTTTTGGGACTCGAACTGGCTCTCCTTGCTCCTCAGCTTGCAGACAGCCTCTTGTGAGATCCTATGATTGTGTAAGTTAATACGTAATAAACTCCCCTATATATATACACACATATCTATCCTATTAGTTCTGTCCTCTAGAGAACCCCAATTAATACAACAGTGAAGAGTGGTTTTCAGGGCCCTGGCTCTACCGCTGGACTCCTGTCTATCTTCCTCCTGTGTAGCTTTACTGCCGGCTTCGCCTCTTTGGGCCTCATTGTCACAATCTGTAAACAGAGGTTTTGGGAAAGTCAAATGAGATACCGTGTGCGACGCACTTGAGGCAGAACACACAGCACGTGCTTCACACATCTTTACCGGCATTCTTCTTCTCTAGCTGTACAACTAGAAGGTGGTAAGGGTGGAGGCAGCAGTGAGAGAGAAGCCGCTACTGAGACAGCTGGAGAGGGAGAAAAACAACTGCAAAATCTTACAAATGAAAACCAGCAATTCGAAAAGCAAAGCAGTCTGAGAATATGGAGCATCTCTATGTTATACAGAATCTCTGCGAAGATAAATAGAACAAAAATAGTTATCCTGCCACATCTTCATTATCTCTCATTTAAAAGGGCTGATGTTATGCAAAGATTTTCAGAAAAACTTCCATCTAAACTAATTGAAATCTCATGTAATGGGGTGTACAACTGGCCCCTGAACAACCCAAGTTTCTGCAGTTTCACTGATACACAAATTTTCTTCTGCCTCTGCCCCTCCTGAGATGAATCCTTCTCCCCCTTCCTCCTCCTCAGCCTATTCAATATGAAGACAATGAGGACAAAGACCTTTATGACACCTCAGCCTACTCAATGTGAAAACAAGGACAAAGACCTTTATGATGATCCACTTCCACCTAATGAACTACTCAATGTGAAGACGATGAGGACAAAGACCTTTATGACTCCTCAGCCTACTCAATGTGAAGACGATGAAGACGGAGACCTTTATGACTCCTCAGCCTACTCAATGTGAAGATGATGAAGACGAAGACCTTTATGATGATCCACTTCCACCTAATGAATAGTAAGCATATTTTTTTATTCCTTATGATTTTCTGAATAATGTGTTCATTTCTCAAGATTATTGTAAGAGGACAGTATCTAAAATATATAATGCAAAAAATATGTCAATCAACTGTTTATCAGTAAGGCTTCCAGTCAGCAGTAGGCTACTATATTGAAGTTTTGGGGAGTAAAATGTTATATGCAGATTTCTGGCTGCCTGAGCAGTCAGTACCCCAACTGCTGCATTTTTCTAGAGTCAACCGTACTAGTTTCTTGTGGCTATTGTAATGGATTGCCACCAACTTAGTGGCTTAAAGCAATAGAAACTGATTCTCTTATAAATGTATTCTTCTGGCCAGGTGTGGTGGCTTATGCCTGTAGTCCCAGCACTTTGGGAGGCCAAGGCGGGCAGGTCACCTGAGGTCAGGAGTTTGAGACTAGCCTGGCCAACATAGTGAAACCCCGGCTCTATTAAAAAATACAAAAAAATTCGCTAGGCATGGTGGTGGGTGCCTGTAATTTCAGCTACTTGGGAGGCTGAGGCAGGAGAATTGCTTGAACCCAGGAGGTTGCAGTGAGCCGAGATCGTGCCATTGCACTTCAGTCCGGGCAACAGCATGAGACTCTGCCTCAAAAATAATAATAAAAAATAAATATATAAATAAATAAATAAATATCTTCTTCTTCTGATAGTCAAAAGGCTAAAATCAAGGTGTTGGCAAGGCTGTTTTTTCCAGAGGCTTCAGTGGAGAATCTGTTCCTTGCCTCTTCCACCTTCCAGAGGCTGCGGTGTTTCTCAGCTCCTGGCCATCACTCAGATCTCCACTTCCTTCCTCACACCACCACCTCCCACTTCGGCCCTCCAGCCTCTGTCTTATGAGGACCCTTGGGGTTACCTTTAGATGCCACTCAAACACTCTAGGATATCCTCCCCACTTCCAAAGATCCTCAATTTAATCACATCTATAAAGTCCTTTTTCCCACGTAAAGTAACATTCACAGGTTCCTAGTGCTTCGGATTCAACATCTTTGGTGAATGGGGCATTATTCAGCCTATCATATAGGACACAGCTAATTATCTTGCCCTAAAATAGATGCCCCTTTTCATCAACGAAGCCAGAAGATGAGCTATGAATAGATATAGTAAAGGAAAAAAGTAGTCAGTGCCCTTCATTTTGACATGCATCAACTTACTAAATCTCAAAGCAATTATATGGCTTAGGTGAGATAATCTCTGTCATACAGGTGAGGAAACTGAGGCCCAGAGGGTGAAGTCATGTGCCCAGGTTCCACGGTAGCTGAGCTGGGTTTGCACCTGGGGAAGTCTGAGCCTGAAACCTACTCTCTTAACCAGGTTGACCCATCGCTTCTCGTTTGTTCTTCTTTCCCAGCTGTGAAAGCCAACATTTCTGTTGTAACCATTTTCTATCTGTTTCAAATTATAAGCAATTTACAGATACAAAAAAAATCAGTCACATTTCTTCTTCATTCATTAATATACCTGTCAAAATGAGCCGGGCATGGTAGCTCACGCCTGTAATCCCAGCACTTTGAGAGGCTGAGGTGGGTGAATCACGAGGTCAGAAGATAGAGACCATCCTGGCCAACACGGTGAAACCCTGTCTCTACTAAAAATACAAAAAATTAGCCGGGCATGGTAGGTAGTCCCAGCTACGCGGGAGGCTGAGGCAGAAGAATTGCTTGAACTCGGGAGGTGGAGACTGCAGTGAGCTGAGATCATGCCACTGCACTCAGCTTGGGTGACAGAGTAAGACTCCGTCTAAAAAAAAAAAAAAAAAAAAAGAGCACCTGCAGCAGGCAGGCACCAGCTGCACGGGACCAACACAGAAAGCATAACATCTGCCTGTTCATATGGGCTCCTTCTGCTTTGACTGGCCCCATCTCCAACCCCTGCACGGGACTGCATTTTTCTTTGAAGATGATTTTCCTATAATTCAATTATTAAGGAATGAAAACAAAAGCTTGGAGAGAGTTGGATTTGTTCACACTGTTGGCGGATGGCAGAGGTAGGATTTATTTTTTTCTATCTCTCTTCCAGTTTAGGGAAATGGCTAGCAAGAGACTGCACAATGTCACCTGAAGTGGATGACATCACTTGAAATAGGTGACATCATCTGAGGTGGATGTCACCTGAGGTAGATGATATCACCTGAAGTGGATGATGTCACCTGAGGTAGATGATGTCACCTGAGTTGGATGAGGTCACCTGAGTTGGATGAGGTCACCTGAGGTGATGACATCATCTGAGGTAGAAGATATCACCTGAGCTGGTTAATGTCACCTGAGGTAGATGATGTTACATGAGGTAGGTGATTTCACCTGAAGTGGACGATGTCATCTGAAGTGGATAATATCACCTGCGTTGGGCGATGTCACCTGAGGCAGCTGGAGTCCACACCACATGGTTTCACCTGGGAAGGGCCAGTGACTTCCAAGGGGCATCTAGACCGCCTTTCTTCTTCCAAACTGGGTATTTCATTCTGGCCCTCGCATGGCTGCCTGTCCTAATGCAGTTCCACAACTTTCCTTACCAGCCTTGTCATCACCATTTTCCTTTTAATCATGTTTACACACACATGATCACGTGGTGGCAGAGCACACTTATTCTCAAACATTAATGCCACACAAAGTCCACCAGGACAGGATACGTTTAACCCTTTCAGCTTGTACAGCCAGAGCAGGTGTGAACACACAACATGGAGGCAGAGAGCAGTGTGCTCATGCCAACACGGAGACGCCAACAACGGCGTCAAACATCAGCAAATGAGAAATCACACATCACCTTTCCAGTGTCTTAGAGTTAAACAAAACCCTTTCTTGAAAAACAGATTATTTGAATTTAGGCTTAGAATCAAATGGCTGAACTCAAACTCTATCTGGACGCTGGCAAGACCATGCACACTACAGGATGGTAGCCACTGTAGGATGGTAGCTCAGCCTGGGGGCTGGGGACACAGGCTGCAGTAATTGCTTCTCATAATGGTGCATTATGCTAGGAAAACAAGGTGAGCAATTTTCCTAATCAGGCCATCAGGTGGAAATAATTAAACAAAATAATGCAGCAGCACCTCAATTATAATTGCAAAAAGCAGTCCTGATATGCCCTGTGTATAATGAAGGAAAATAATTTTTGAATTTGTGTAATTATTTGTTATTCTCAATAAACCTATATTGATCATTATCAATACAACATGTGTCACAAAAAAACACCCGATTAGACACTAAATCCAGATATTGGGGAGAATGTACAATCACTGATATCTACAAGACCCATTTCAGCTATGAATGATTATTTCCTCACAGCCTTGAGAGGTAGCCACAATTAGCCTTGTTTGTTGAGTGGGACAAGTAGGAAACGAAGAAAGAACATGGCCCTAGGATGACCTTTTGAGACAGGCCATCCTATCCTGAAAGACCTACATTGTCCCCAACAAGTGCTCTAGAAAGTTTTCCAATAATGGAATCGATCAGTGATAGACAAATGGTAGGGAGCGGACAAGATCTCTCCTTAGGCAGGAGGTGGCAGAGATTACCCCGGAATCACCCTTTTCCAGTTCTGAAGTCTGGTGGCTGCGGTGTGAGGTGGCGTGGCACACCAGTGGCCTTGCCCCGCAGCTGCCAAGCGGAATCCTCTTGGCTTAAAGGAAAATCCTGTGAGCCCGCAGCTGCTCAAAGTGCAGCCTTGTTGCTAGATGATTTATTAAATCCTTGCATTCTTTCAACTTCTCTAATGTTTGTTTAATTTAGTTGGTATTATGCAGCAAACAAAACAACAAATTTTATAGTTTTACATTTCAGATTTAAGCCTGGGATCCATTCTGAGTGAATTTTTGTATAATCTTTATGTCAAACCCTGGTGACACAAGTTTACCTTTATAACAAACCTGAACATGTACCCCTGAACCTAAAAATGAAAGTTTAAAAATTAATAAATAATACAAATTTAAAAACTGTATCTACCAAAAAAAAAAAAAAGCTATGAGATTTAGGTGAAGGTTCATTTCTTTGCCTATGCATATCCAATTGCTCTTGTACTGTTTTATGGAAACAAGACTATCATCCCTCCTTTGAATTGCTTTTGTACCTTTGTCAAAAATCAGCTGAGCATATTTGTGTGGGTCTATTTCTGGGTTCTCTATTCAGTTTCACTGATCTCTATGCCTATCCCTTTACCTATACAGACAGTTCCTGTCCGATGGTTTGACTTAGGATTTTTGCACTTTACACTGGTGCAAAAGTGATACCCATTCAATAGAAACCATACTTTGAATTTTGATCTTTTCCCAGGCTAGCGATATGTGATATGATACCCTCTCATGATGCTGAGCAGCAGCAGGGTGCCACAGCTCCCAGTCAGCCATGGAATCAAGAAAAACAACCATGAGACATTCAACACATTTTACAAGACGGACTTGTTAGATGATTTTGCCCAACTGTAGGCTAATGTGGGCATTCTGAGTGTTTGAGGTAGGCTAAGTATGATGTTCAATATGTTAGGCATATTAAATGCATTTTCAGCTTAAGATATTTTCAATTTAGGATGAGTTTATCAGGACATAACCCCATCATAAGTCAGGGAGCATCTGTACTGTGGAATATTTTTAACATACTTTTGTGCCAATTAAATTAAAGTGTCTCTGTATCAATTGTAGTGATGTATTTCTTCATCTAAAAATAGTTTTATAATTCAGAAATTACACAAAGATTAATATGGAAAAATTTCCCCCTGAGATGGTTAGTTTACACAAATTACACTTGAACAGTATTTTCGGGTTTAAGTTGCCCCATCATAGTCCTCTGGGGGAAGAACCTAGAACTTCTCAAAACAAGGCTGAGCTGAATTCTCTCTGAACAGGAATTCAGCAGCTCTGGTTCATGCTGGCATCTAGTGGTGTGTGCACATACATTTAGATTAGGAAATCTGGTGCATATTTTTAACAATTAAGATAGATTCTTAACTCTCCACTGAGTTTGTCTCTTATTGACCCAGATGACAGAAAACAGACAACAGGGGTCTCACCTGAGACTTGTTTGGCAGAACACCAGTTCTGTGGGATATGATGAGGGGTGTCAGGAACAGCTACAAAGCTTGAAGGACTCGCCAAGTGAAACTAGGCCGCCCTCGTTAAAAAATGGTTAAGAATTTCAAGACGAAAACAGCAGCGCATTAAGTCAAGCACTGGGTCCTTCTAAGAGCACAGTCTTTTGGGATGATAGAGTTCCTGCATGCATGAAGCCAGCTTGGAAGCCTGTTTCTTGCTGAAACAATCAATTTATAGAATTTAGATTTTATTACCTCAGTACCCTCCAGGGTGTTTAATAAGTTATTGTAAATTTTGGGTTTCTGGGAAGGGCATATACTGTTTTCCAAAAGGATTTGGTTCTGCATGTGAGTTATGGCCTCTTTTTGGGAAATAGTGTGTTACACTTACTGCAGATATGCCACATACCTATAATCAGATGTGGTGGCTGAAAACACAGGAAGTAGATTACATTTGGCTGAAAAGGTAGGAATTCACTTTCAGGATTCCTGAAAAGGATCAAAATCAGGAATGTGAAATTAAATGATTATTTTGATGGATGACCTACAGGCGGCTTTCTTCAGAAGGGGTGTAGACAGGCTCTGTGACATGTTCACTGTTTGGGTCACATTCAGGACCATTTTCAAGCAAGGGGAGACTTGCTGTGGGAATTGCCACTCTAAGAATCACAAGGGGGATTCAAGAAACTAAGCTCGGGGCTCCACCAAGGTGTCCACAGAGTCACAGAGGCAATACTACTACTAATAATAGTAATAACAATAGCCAAGCTTCACCAAGCACCAACCATGGGAGAAGTATGAAGATTCCCATGAGCAATTACATAATCTTAGTGAAAACCCTGTGAGACCAGCTTTATGATTATCTCTATTTTGCAAGGGAGGCATTGAGGAACAGAGAGGTTAAATAACTTACTCAAGTTCACAGACCTTAAAAGAAGAGCCAGCCAGGGGTGGTGGCTCACACCTGTAATCCCTGCACTTTGGGAGGCCAAGACAGGCAGATCACTCGAGGTTGGGAGTTCGAGACCAGCCTGGCCCACATGGTGAGACCCCGTCACTACTAAAAATACAAAAATTAGCCAGGCGTGGTGGTGGGCACCTGTAATCCCAGCTACTCGGGAGGCTGAGGCAGAGAATTACTGGAACCTGGGAGGCAGAGGTTGCAGTGAGCCGAGATCCTGCCACTGCACTCCAACCTGGGCAAAAAGAGTGAAACTTAGTCTCAAAAAAACAAAAGAAAAAAAGAAGAAGAGCCAGAACTGGGGCACTGGCAGTCAGGCCCTTGAGGCCAAGCTCTCAGATTTGGCTTGCAGCAATGTTCATCTCATAGCCTCACAGGTCTCAGTCTGACCCTATGTCCTACCCTGTATTGACCTTGAAGCTGCCTTCTTGCTCGCCACCAGGTGTATGCTGACACCAACACCTGATTAAAATGAAGTTTCTGGCAGTAGCAGCAGACCCAGGACCAGGAGTCTGGGGACACAGCATCGAGTCTGTATTCTGCCATAGACTGTGTGACCTTGAGGATGCCACTTGTCATTGAGCTTAAAATGAAGGAGATGAGATAATTTTTGAGACCCTTTTCAACCCTAAGATCTGGTATCCTAATTTAATGATCACACTCAATAAAATAGAGCTTGTGATATTGTCCAAAGTAAAACAATTCTAGAATATAAACTCCATAGATGCAACGATCATGTGTTATGTTAATCTTGGTATCTTGGAGGTCTAGAACAGTTCCTGATATACAGTAGGCTTTCAAACAATGATTGGGTTGATGAATGAATGAATGAGTGGTAAGTGAAGGAGTTAAATAAATGAGAAAGTGCAATAATCCGACATAAAGCAAATGAACATTATACACTTTTGTAAGCCTCACAAACCATGGCACCAAATTGAATCTTGCAATCATAGCACGGCCTTGGCCAACCTCAAGGTCCAAGGTCTCATCAACATTTAGTTGTTGGACCTATCATTGCTGGTAATAGGCACACAGTGTCTCTGAGTAAAAGCTACCATGTTGGCCCGAGAAAAAGCTTTCTTTTGATGCTAACAACATAAGGAATGAGGACTGATTGAGATAATTTATTTTTGCTCTCCAAAATGAGGGTGTCTTCTGGCACCTTTTGAAAAACAGCAGACCTTTCATCTCTCACGAGGCACTGTAACATACATGCTGAGAGCTTGGTTCCTGGAGTTGGATTCACAGATTTCACCCCTACACACTCTAGGGGATGCCAAGCACACTGCCAATATCGACATCTTAGATTTATAAATTTTACAATTTTTTTTTTCTGGAAGGTAGCCATAGAGTGGCATGTTCTTAAAAAACCAGTATATTTCAATAATTTTTCAGCAGATGAAAGTGAGGTATCATAAAGTAGAAGTACCCTTTTCTATTGCACCATTGTCATAGGTGCAAGCAACATCCCTGTTTACCACCCATTAGCTGTGCATATTTAGGCAAATTGCTGAACCTCTCTGGGTCCTAGCTTACTCATTTCCAAAATGGGAATATTAATATTACCTCCTGTATCATGGAGCTGTTGTGAGGATTAAGGGAGAAACTAGACACAAAACAGCTATGATAGGTCTTGCAAATAGTACTCAATAAATTAGTTAATATTAGTTCCACAACATATACACAGGCAAAACAGAATCAGAACTTAAATCACTTTTAAAAGATCCCTGTGCAAAAATGTTATTCCAGTGCAGATCAGGCCTGGATCCCACTGTTCAGTTATTAATACAGTGGAACTGGAGTGAAGTCAGAAAGTCAAGTTAAAGGTAGAACAGATTTAAGTGAAACATAGTTCTATAAAGGTAGGACTAGCAACACTTCAGATGTTTGAACAGAAAGAATTCAGCACTGAGTACTTAGGAAGCATGTATTCGGAACCTCAGACAGAAGTGGCTGAGATCTGAGTCCCATGCACACATTGGAGCTGCCTAGCCATGCTAAAGCCCAATGCTTCCTTCTGTATTAGTCTGCTTTTACAATGCTGATAAAGACATACTCAAGACTGGGAAGAAAAAGAGATTTAATTTACTCACAGTTCCACGTGGCTGGGGAGCCCTCACAGTTATGATGGCAGGCAAGGAGGAGCAAGTCATGTCTTACATGGATGGCAGCAGGCAAAGAGAGCTTGTGCAGGGAAACACCCCCTTACAAAACCATCAGATCTCATGAGACTTATTCACTATCACAAGATCACGAGAACAGCATGGAAAAGACCTGCCCCCATAATTAAATTACCTCCCACCAGGTCCCTCCCACAACACATGGGAATTCAAGATGAAATTTGGGTGTGAATATAGCCAAACCATATCACCTTCTGGACCCCTTCCCAATGCTCTGTGCCTCAGTCCAAATCAGGGAGGATCAATGTCCTCAACAATTTACAGTATTTACAAAAAAGTATTTTGTGACTGTAAAGCAACCTGGGTCTTCTGAATGAGTTGTAGGAACATGTATCTGCACATTAATGATGTCAGTGGCCATGGTGAGATAGCATTTGGGTGATCAGCATCCATGATGCTAGCCCTTTGAACATCTGACTCATTGTTCAACCTAGTGGCAGTTCTCCAGAGAGACACATGGAAGGAGACAGTATAGAAGAAGGGTAATCACAAATGTTAAAGGCTCCAAAGTCCAAAGGCTCAGGCCTGAGTCTTGGCTGTGTGTGACACTGAGCAACACAGCCTCAGGGCTACCCCATATGGCAGGACCTATACCACATGAGGTTGCTGAGTGGATGGAATGAGTTGACATGTGGAAACTGAACAGCACTTACAGACACGGAAAGAGACAGTATAGAAGAAGGGTAATCACAAATGTTAAAGACTCCGAAGTCCAAAGGCCCAGGTCTGAGTCTTGGCTGTGTGTGACATGAGTCTTGGCTGTGTGTGACACTGAGCAACGTAGCCTCAGGGCTACCCCATATGACAGGACCTATACCACATGAGGTTGCTGAGTGGATGGAATGAGTTGACATGTGGAAACTGAACAGCACTTACAGACACGGAAAGAGACAGTATAGAAGAAGGGTAATCACAAATGTTAAAGACTCCGAAGTCCAAAGGCCCAGGTCTGAGTCTTGGCTGTGTGTGACATGAGTCTTGGCTGTGTGTGACACTGAGCAACGTAGCCTCAGGGCTACCCCATATGACAGGACCTATACCACATGAGGTTGCTGAGTGGATGGAATGAGTTGACATATGTAAATTGAACAGCACTTACAGTGTGTATTAGCTAGTCCTATTATTAATACAGTTATCATCAATGTTATTAGAATGGACCACCTGGAGCTTTGAGGACACTCTCTTAATGGACTTCAGGCAAGTTTGGGGTCTGCACTGGATGCAGGCTATGGGACCTATTCAGCCCTTCTTTCCCCCAACCCCAAGCTTACTCAGTTGGATCTTCAGTTTCTACTAGTCTGTGGACAAGAAATGGTAAACCCTGAGGCAAACACATAGAATATGAAGGAAAAGGGAGTGTCTGTCTCTGAGTGCCAAGTAGACCAGATCTAGACCCTAGAGCCCAGGTTCCAAGAAGGAGGAAGTGCCAGGATCATCTTTCTTGAGAGCCGACCAAGGAAGACATGACCCAAGAAGACAGAGCCTTGTTGTTTATTTAGCCCCCTGAAATTCACCCCTCAACCCCATCCTGTAGTCTTCTTGTAAGTCTTTCCCTTGGTCTAGCTCCCTGGAGGCCGAATAAGCATAGAGCGTTGACCATGTGTGAGTTGTCATGTGCCTCTAACAAGCAGGATTATTCATTGTGACTTAGTTATCCAAGATATAGATATTTACCATCATTCTCTTCAGTTTTGTTTTGGTACCAAAGACAATAGATGCTAAATATTCCACAATATGAGAAGGATTAACAAGGCAGATCCCTCACCATAAATTTATGAAACCATTCACCCTTCAAATTGGCTACCTCTCTCCTACTTCTTCTAAGCATCCTTTTGCCAAAATCATCAATGAACTTCTGGTTCCAAACATAGATCATTTCCTTCTCTTGTCTAAAAGATACTCAAACTTTAGGATAAAATTTAAACCCTTGACCTGCCCTACCAAGCCCTGGATGAACCCCAGACTTATTTCTCTGGTTCCTTCTTAGCTCACTGGGCTTCTGTGCATGCATCTTTTCCCATCTACTCGCTGACCAATGCCCTCTGCTCAGGATCCTTGTGCCATGGGACCCCATGATGGAATCATTTCTGAGTTTGTTGGCAACTCATCTCCATTTCCTCCTCATGCTTCTATTCTTCCACTGCTCTTTTTCATTGCACACTGTTTATTTTGCTTTCAGAATATTTCTTACTATTTGTAAGAAATCCACTTGTTTGTTTACTTAACTAATGTTTATCTTCTCTTCTAGATTATAGATCCAGAGGGTAGAGGTTATGAAGACAACCAAACAATTACAACTTCATCCAAGGGGGTATATTGAAAGAAACCGAGCATATTTGCTGAAAGAATGAGTTTCCCTAAAAATGTTTCTTAGTACAGAAAGTAATTCATCATATATTGTTGAATCAAAGAGTACATTATAAAATGTTAGGCACTGCACAATCCTGTTTAAGTTTATATATGTAAAATATCTGTGTATATAACTTATATATACATTTACATGCATATGTGTAGAGAGAAGTCTGGATGTTGAGGTCAAAATGGTCACAGTATCCATCTTAGCATGGTGACATCAGAGTGATTTTATTTTTTAAAATTTACTAGTTTTTTAAATTTAAATATTTTTAAATTTAATTTTTTTATATTTAAAAGGTATCTGCTACCTTTTAATAATAAACATGTACTACCAATGTATTCAATAATTTATAAAAAGAATATGATACAAATTAAGACCCCTAATTTTTTTTTTGTTTTTTTTTTTTTTTTTGGTGAGATTGGGTCTCGCTCTGTCACCCAGGCCGGAGTGCAGTGGCACGATCTCGGCTCACTGCAACCTCTGCCTCCCAGGTTCAAGAAGTTCTTCTGCCTCAGCCTCCTGAATAGCTGGGAGCACACCATCACGCTCGGCAAATTTTTGTATTTTCAGTAAAGACGGGGTTTCACCATATTGGCCGGGCTGGTCCCGAACTCCTGACCTCATGATCTGCCCGCCTCGGCCTCCCAAAGTGCTGGGATTACAGACGTGAGCCACCATGCCTGGCCGAGTTAATTTTTTATTAATGTTTAGACTCTCCAACTGGAACATGCCCCCTTAATGAAGGAAATAATACAGGATACATCTGTGAACCTTGTCTCTCTTCCCCGGTACATGTGTTCATGTGTATGCATGTGTGGATGGACATGAAACAAAAGCATACAAAATAGCAGAGGAGAGAGTATAACTGTTCTTGTTATAAAGTATTAGATGATAAGTTCCCGAGATGCAGAAATCACCACTACAGATTTCTTAGTTATTTCCTTTGTTATGTTTGCTCTCACACCTGTGGATCATATCGTGTTGATAAAAATCTATATTAGTGACAGGAAGGCTATGTGGATCTTCTGAGTATTGGCTAATTTATGTAATTCGCTTAATCAATTTCTTTTACCAGCATGAAATGCTAACTCATTCCAAAATAGAAATCTTAAACAAGGTTTTAATTAACATTTGTATTGCTATGGGCATGTATCTGCATAATGTACCCTACTTGGTAGATCCATTTATGCTGCAGTAGAGTGTCAATAAAGACGTTGAAATCCTTCTTTATTTCGGTAGTATTTTGTATCTCACAAAACTGTAACATCTCTTAATTAAAGAGAATGTTCATATGGCTTCATTGTGAGTTAAAGAGTTGAAGCTGCAGATGGATTACAGGATTCCATTCATGGTGGTCTGTGTTCCCGTCTGTGTTCCTGCTGGGGAAGCCAGGTTTCCACAGTCCTACTCCTCATGACTAGGTTATTTCATGATCAAAATAAAATCTAGGTTTATATCATCACTTGTTATGTCCAATATGAGTTCAACATTATTTTTAAATAGTAAATTCACATTAGTAATCTATGAGTTTTCATTTGGTCAATATAATTTCACTGGTGAAATTTTTAAAAAAGTAAAGGAAAGGTAATGTCCTCATAACAAACACTAGCAGATGTAAGATGGGTCCTATTTTCTCTGCTTTACATCATTCCTACAGTTGTAGTGATTACAAGTGACATGAAATGAAATATTTTAAAGTTTTAATTATTCTACCAGATTTACAGCAGCTCTACATCATATTTGTATTCCTATCCACTTTACAAAGTTGACAAACAGGCATTTATGTCAAGCTTTCTGGCTGTGAACTTAGTATTTTCACCAATAATTTAGAAGAAAGTAAGTGAAGAAAAACACTTAAATAACCTAATCTTGTGCAAAATGGGGATTTCCTTAAGACAAGGAATAAGGTGCAATAATAGAGGAAAAACTGCTGCTTTTACTTTTCTTTCCCTCCTTGTCTTTCCAGCATTAATAGGGGCTACTTTCCTTTCTCAACTTTGAAATATTCTAAAACATGTTCAAGAGAGGATTCATAACTAAAACTGGAGACTCAGGATACTAGATTGTGGCCAATCTATCATTTTTCCCACTGTTTGCCATTCCCTGAGGGTATGAGGTGTACACTTGTCAGGGCTGTTGACTTTGGAGTCCGACATGTAACTGGCAGCCAAGGTCGTGATAGCAGAATGTCTGGAACAGAGGTTTTAAATGTTTTTGTGTGGCTTGGCTTGTCTCTGACACTGCTGTGATCTGCCTGAGAAGAGAAAACCCCACATACTTACTAGCATAAGGGAGAGGAGAATCAAGTAGGGCCAATCTGGACCAATCTGGTACCTGGAGGCAAGTCCAACCTAAACCGGTTGAGCATAGCCAATATCCAGCCACCTGGAGCACCCATGAGCAAGAGAGAGAGATGCTTTTAGATTCAGGGGCTATTTGTTACACTGCATTATTGCAGTAATGGCTGACTAATACATATTCTATTTTTAAAAACTGGGGCATAGCATAAAATATTTACAAAATGAATAAGAACTGATACAATTATCTGGGCCTGATCCTCTTATCTGGTAGATGAGAACACTGAGGCCCATGATGTTGTAACTTGCTCCAAAGTAGAGAAGGGAATAGGATCAAGGTCTTCTGATGCTCAGTGACTGTTCACACTGAACAATGGCAGATTACATATGATGGTGGGATTTGTAATGTACCCTGGATGATGCTGTCTACCTCCATTCCCTACATGTGCCTCACTCACTGTCCATCCCACATTCTTCCTTCCTGCTTCAAAGCTTCTCTATCACTGACCTACGCTTGCCCTACATTGTCTATGTTTTCTGTTTAGTCCATTTGGGCTGCTATAACAAAATATGGTTCTGGAGCCTGGGGAATCTAAGAATAAGGCCCCAGGAGATTCTGTGTCTGGTGAGGGCATATTCTGTGCTTCCAGGATGGTACTTTCTCTCTGTATCCTCACATGGTGGAAGAGACAAGGCAGCCCCTTCAACATCTGTTATGAGAGCACTAATCCCATTCATGAGAGTGGAGTTCTCATGTCTTAATCACTTCCCAAAAGGCTCTACCTCTTAATATTATCACATTGGGTATTAGGTTCCAACATATGAATTCTGGGGTGACACCAGCATTCAGATCACAGCACCTCAGAAGCTTTAATTGCGTGCTGGCCTCTGGGCTGTTAGGTGACTCAGTTCACTCTGGGATAATGCAACATTGGTTCTGTTCTGTTGGAGACTGGTGACTTAAGTGAGTCGTCTCTTTAAATCACATTCTGTTTCCATGTGTTTGTTTTGTTATCCCAAATCACTTTCCAAATCTCAGATTGGCAGGAAATCCTAATTAAACCCTTTGGGGTATCTCAGCTATGAAGCCTGTAGTTGATCACGTGTTATCATTAGTCAGCTAATTTCATATGCCTCCCTTGCCCATCATCACTTTCAGGTAAATAAGGGAGAACATAAAATGAAACATCTGGCACACAAGGTCATAGATAAAATCTACTACCCTCAGAATGGCCTCTGAAAATCCAGTTAGGATTTAGAATTAAGGTTGGTTCTTTCCAGATGCCAGTTAACTGAACCCTTGCTCTGAAGAATCCTCATCTCCTTCAGAAAACCTTCACTACATAGTAACTATGGAAATTTGCAACTAAGACTATATAAAACATGCTTGATGTTTTTTGAAAGAGAAGCATATTCTTGTTTTCTCTAATGACTTGGATTTTACAGTTCACACTGAATGCAAATAATAAGACTCTATTACCTTCAATGCAAGGATCTTCAATTAGTCTAGGAAACTGGTTTCTGTATTAGAAAAATATGTGCATATCTGTTAAGATGAACACATGGCTTAATGAGGGATCAACTTGCCTGTATATTAGAGTTTCAGTAAAATGCTCTTGGTTTTGGAAACAAAGGTTTAAGAGGATACGTTAGCTTTATATTCTTACGTGGGAACTTATTACCTGACAGACATCAAGAAGTGATGTCAAGAATACCTAAAAGCTATTTAAGTTTAAATAGTAATTTAGGTTTATTAAAACCATATTAGTTATTTAGGTCTAATACCACTGTTTACAGTGTTCCTGAAAGATTATTACATAGTCCAAATAATGGATACTGATGGTCATTGCATGCTGAAATGACCTGCTGGCTTGTCTGCTTGACTTTGTCATCAATCAAGGCAACTGTGGACTCTGCTAAGGCCATGTCATGTAATCCAATGGAAAGGTCCAGTCCTATGGCCACTGGGCACAAGGAATGTCAGCCCATCTTGGATGTTGTCAGTGGAAATCTTTACTGCATACAGTGCTTTGCTGGTCAGACCCCACTCAGTATCCTTCCAGTTTATCTTCCGTTAAGCACCCAGGGCCCCCTCTGCAAAAAAGTGAAGGATCAACTGCATTAAGGAAGAGCGATTCCCAGTCAGTGTTTCTGTCAATATTAAAACCAGCAAAAAAGCAAATGTGTTTAGTGTGTGGTTTACAATGGCCAGAACAGGCTCTGGCCAAGTCTCAAAGTGAATTTCATTTAAGAATCACTCTCAGCAACTCAGGTTTATGGCTCTCCCCTCAAAGGAAATAATTCTACTGACTACCATTAAATAAACATATCTGTTTTCAACTTAAAGTAGAGCAACCACATGTTCCCTAAGAAATCTAGAAGTCTTTTATTGGAAATAGTACTTAAGAATGAAAATATAAATCCCTATGACTTTCAAAGTCCTGTTGGGGAAATACTAATGACAGGGCCAGCCCCAAATGCAGCAAAGATGACAAGGTACACTCACAAATAGAGACAGGATTGAGTGATGCTGAAGACCCCAATGTCTCCTCTACTGATGAGGTAGCCTGTCTGCCAAGGTGCCCTCCCGCTTGGTCACCTCCTTGTGTTCCTGTGCTGTGCTTATTCTGTCATGCTCTGGCAGAGATGGTGTGGGATGCAGATGAGATCCCTTCCCTAGCAGCACAGGGGTCACTGTAGGGAACCCACCAATGAACATTTCTTCCTCAGGGTGGAGGATTTACTAATCAGGCTAAGGTTGGGCATGTAGGTGAATGAAACTCGACTCCTTACAGTCTCATACCCAAGCATGGGCTGCATCATGGAAGGTGGAGATTGCTGCATTACCATCACAAAACCTAACACTGACAATTTCCTTCTAAAAGTCCCATGACTCATTTTGGTTGTAAAAGGTCTAGGATAAGTAAAGACCACGAACAAACTAAAATGTACTTATTGTATTTTTCACAAACCTCTGAAATATTTATTCTTTTCTGGGTACCATTACTGTTCGTGTGCTTTATGGTTTGACAACAATGAACCACCTCTATCCAAGGCTATAGTGTGTAAGAGTAACCTATGATCACAAAACATTACTCAAATTAGGAAAAAAAGTATTTCAGACATTCCAGACCCAATGGAAAGACTGATTCTAATTTACACAGCGAAATGCTATGGCAAACTTTCCTTTTCTTGGTTTTTCTAATAAAAAAACACATTCATCATGCAACATAACTCCTTACTGTGGTTATGGCAACTCTGAATACAATACATTTGTACTTTCAGCAACAATAATCATTTTGAAAGAATAAGCACATTTCTGTTGGTGGTGAATGACATTAATTTTTTTCTCCTAAATCAGACAGCTTATCTGTGGTAGGTGTTCCACAAAATATAGCAGCATAACGAGGAGGAGCGTGATGCTTATATCGATCAACTTCAAACCTACTTGGAATTTTTAAGTTCTATTTTTATGTGATTGCTCTATTCTTCAAGACCAATTTACTTTGCTAAAGGGCATTTTTGATCAATTAGATATTTATTTCTACAGTTGTTATAATATTAGCCTAATAAAATTAAGCATTTCTTGTACATGTTGAATAAAATTCAATATAAAGGCTAACTTCCCTCAATAGGTCAACATGGAAATCAACTGTGTTTTATAGTCTGTTTATTGTGTGTGATGATTTTGTGTGTGTCAACTTGACTGGCTAAGGGATGCCCAGATAGCTGGTGAAACATTAATTCTGGATGTGTCTGTGAAGCGAGGATGTTTTTGGAAGAAATCAGCATTTAAATCAGTAGGCTGAGTAAACAAGATGGCCCTCAGCAACGTAGGCACACACCATCCAATCCAATGAAGGCCCAAATAGAACAAAAACATAGAGGAAGGGTGAGTTCATTCTCTCTTCTTGAGCTAGAACATCTGTCTCCTCCTGCAATGGACATCGCAGCTCCTGGTTCTCTGACATTTGGACTCTAGGACTTACACTAGTGGCCCCCCAGTTCTCAAGCACTGGAACTTGGACTGGGAATTATACCACTGGGTCCCCTGGTTCTCAAATCTTGAGACTCAGGCTGACTCGCACCACCAGCTTTCCTGGTTCAGCTTGTAGGGAAATGATCATGGGACTGCTTGACCTTCCTAATAAATAATAATCAATCTATTTATCTATAATAAATCAATAATAAATCAATAATATTTATCATAATAAATCAATCTATTTATCTATCTACTTTATCTAATCTTCTACTGGCTCTCTGATTTCTCTGGAGTACTTTAATGTATGCTGCAAACAAAATCTATTTCTTTTGTTTTTAGGAGTATATTCTCACAAAATCAATTCAAAAATATAATTATGAGAGTTTTGTCTCTGGATGGAGGGTGAAAAGGCTAAATCTTGTTCATATTTATTTTGTTTTCTTGTTGCTGCTATAACAAACTGCCACAAACTTAGTGGTTTAAAACAACACACATTTATTTATATCTTATACTTTTGGTGGTTAGGAGTTGAACTTGAGTCTCACTGAACTAAATGAAGGTGGGCAGGACTGCATTTATACAGAAGCCTCTGAAGAGAAAATTATTATTATTATTCCTTTTCCAGCTTTCAGAGGCTGCCGAAATTTCTTGGCTTGTGGCCCTTTTCCCCATCTTCAAGTTCAGCACCATAGACTCTCTCCGGCCATCTTCTGTAGTCACGCCTCCCTCTGACTATGTCTGAAAAAGGTCTTCTGCCTTTAAGGATGCATATGATTAGTTTGGGCCCACCTGGATAATAGAGGATAAACTCTCTACCTCAAGGTCATTTAACTGCAGCTGCACCCTTACTTCCCTTTTCCCATGGAATGTAACATAACACAAGTTTTGGGAATTAGGATGTTAGGCATCTTTGGTGGGGGAGCATCATTCTATCACAATATTTTTATATACATGACTATTTCTCAAGTATATTCCTCACCTGTAAGAGCTGTACATCCCACAATGTGAAATTGTAAATGCATGACACTAATCCGTATCCTTGTATTCTCAGAAATGAAAGATGAAAAGAAAACATCCAGTTATTACATTCACTTTTTAGAAATCAAAATAAACTTGTACCTCCCACAGATGTTGATGTGTGACCAAAAAAGTGATTTCAGGAGTCATCTATGATGTATTGTCTAATGCTATATTCTAAACAGTAATCAAGCAGTTATTTTAAAAGCTAGTTCTGCTGCATCATATGACTTATGCCTGTGTTCTTCTGGTGGCAGTTTTTGTTGAAGATAAAAGCATGAAAACATTGAGCCAAGGTAATCAGAAGAGCTAACATCTATATATCTTTTTTACTTCTAAACTTCTTCAGTTTCTTTGATGAAACAGTCTTAAATTTCTTAATAAAGATTAGGCATACTGTACCTCATAGGAATTTTCACAATTACATTAATATATTTGATTTAAGCCTATTTTTAATTAATTCTATACATTATAATAGTTGATGGCCAAATCCACAATACATAAGCCAATTAAAATATTTCTTCAAAGGCAGAAATAAAATTTAATATGTTACATTTGATTTTTTGTGTTTCTTTTAAGAAAGTTCTGCCTTGGGATACACAGGAGAAAAACTCAATGAAATGTTCAGTGACATTTCTCCATACACATCAACATAAATGTCAATATGCAGTGAAAAGTCTTAGAAAGCTATACAGGAAATGGTTAACAAGTTACTCTGGTACTCATTTAAAAAAAAATTTTCTTCACACCATGGCACAATAGCACCTTTATAAACCAAACCAAACAACGTAACATAAAATAATACATCTGAAGATTCCTGCTTGCTTTGATACTGGGAAAACCAGCAGAACAAATCACTTTTAGTTTGCTGAAGAGGCCGTCAAGTACAGATTTTTAAAATGTTCTAGTCCTGGCTGACACTTGAAAATAGATCCCACATGTTTTTGATGTACCACTGTTTGCCTTCAAATTCTGGCCACAATCTTATTAATTCATTCACAACTACATGAAACTCAGCACTTTGCTTTCAGTAATGAAAAAAAATGTTATTTACCCAGAAACACAAGCTTGATGGCCTTGGAAAAAAATATTTACAGGGATAAAGCCCTTGATTTAGGATTCATGGACAATGACTTCAGAACATTTGATGAATTGCCCATATTCACAGCCTACAACATAGGTTTTAATTCAGAAATAAAATTTGCTTGCAAATGTTTGAGATTTTTATCTTTCATAGGCATGAAGTTTATCTAAGCCATCAGGGCTCACAGGGTCTATGTTACATATGATTGTTATTGAATATACTGAGACTTTATCAAAGGTAAGTTTTGTTGTTGTTGCTGCTTTTTAATGACAGACATTACTATATCTCTGAAAAGAAATGTATAGGAAGCTTCTTACTAAGGAACGCATATGTAAAATTTCCAGTAACGATTGAACAGTACTATTTGTTTCTTTTTTGCATCTTAGGATTTCAATCTTATTTTATAAACGTGTGAATCTCTGCAGGTCACCTACCCTCCTGCTCAAGATATGTTCTGTTGGTGGGCATTCTGGCCAGTTGGCTGGACCATTCCAGGATGGATGAAAATCTGTATGCCTTGTCCTTCAAGGGCAGGCCTACAAATAAGCATGCACGTCAGTGGAGTTGGGGGCAGGAAGGCCAAAGATTTCCGAGATGCTTTGCAAGTCATCTCTGGGCATTCAGCCCCATCATCCAGAGGCTCTGCCCCACTGGAATTTGGATCGCCTGTTGATGGCTGAGGTTAAGTTGTTCAGACTCCAAAGGGCCACAATGTAAGAGAAGGCCAGTCTCCAGCATTTATAAAAAAGAACAGGAGGTATTTTAATGAAAGGAGAGCACTTACTATTATGGCCCAGCTCCCCATGGCACTTTCTACTGGCTTAGACATCCCTTCTTTTTGAATGAAACATAAATCTTTATAAAAAGATTAGTGGGGCTGCTTTAATGGTTATGAAAGGTAACAGACTTGGGGTAGTAAAGAAATTTCCACATCAAACACATGAGATAATTGAGTGTTTCTTGGTTTTGTATCCATGTGATGTATTCATAAGAATCCTACACAATTAGGTGTGTGGGGCTCGTATCATGTCATATTAAGTCTGCACCAGGTATATATAGCTGTCAGAATAAATTCCATTAAAATTGCTTTCTCAGTTGCATCAAACATCCATGTGCCAAAGCACAACAATGATAGTAATTTAGCCGCAACTGTTTCCAGAACACATGGTGGACTGCCTAGAAGTGTACAAATAAATCAAATCACTAGGGTTCGAATTTCAGGGTGGCTGGAGGATGTGTGCACGCCAGAAACTATTTGGATTATTAACATCAATGCAATACCCAAGTGTTCCATTATTGGAACACTAAACATGTGGGAGTTATTTATATCCTACTGCTCAAGGTCATCATCAAAGTCTGATTTTTCACTGACGCAAAAATTCAAAAAAATTGCAACCTCCAGCATAAATGGGTTTAAGGAGGTATTCCCAGTTCACTGTGGATACTGGTTATGACAGAAGGGTCCCTCAACAGTCAGCGCTACTGCTGAAAGATTCCAATTGATTACCTCCCTGGGACTATGAAGTACCGATAGGCCCCTCAACCAGGAGAATTTCAAAAATAATTTTTCCTACCCATTATACACAAAATCAAGATGATTAAATGTGGAGAAAAATACATCCAATGAAAAATACAGAACACTGTATAGATACACAGACTATATGTACTATATATAGATACAGAGCACTATATAATATCTATAATAGTATATACATACTATGTATACACTATATTACACACACACACACACACACACACACACACAGGTATCCTGGAGGTATCCTGGAAAATACTCTGTAAATGCATCAATCTAACTTGTGAAATAAAAAACTGAGTATTCAAATCTGATTTCTGAACAATTACACCTTTTACAAGCTGGTTCAGGAAACGTGTGCATCGGGACATAAAGAGGTTTATGATATTTAGTGAAGTTAAGAAGTTAAAGAGTGATATCGTATGCAATTCTTGTTTTGCTCGTAAACATTTTTCAATTGAAAGTTTAGTTTCAACAGTTACTCTAATAACTTATTAGCATTATACAAAGTATAAAATATATTACCTGCCAAATAGTATCAAGCAAACTTCTATATTCTATTTCATAAAGCATACAATACAGCACTCATGCTCTAGCAAGCAGGATGCTACTAGGTTATGTGATATCAACGTCTGTGAGAGTTCCCTACCAATAGAAAAAAAGAAACTCAAAATGTTAGGATTTAGTTGCTTTTTTTTTAGTGCATGATGCAAACCATTCTCTACCAAGGCTCATAGAGCCTTGGTAATAGCTGCAAAGAAGATGTGATCTAGGATTTGTGCCAAGTGTTATATTCTATACAGGAAAATAGGGAAATCTGTAAAATTCTGGCTTGGGCTGAAATCAGTAGTTTATGCTTCAGTTGTTGAATTAGACATAATTAGGTAATTCCATATTAAGTTCAGAATGGCATTTAAAATGAGTTTGGATATTTCCAGTCTTTCTTTGCCTGCTGCTAGACAGAAACATGGCTGCCTCTCTGGTTCCTGAATTTTAAAGACTTTGTGTGTGTGTGTGTGTGTGTGTGTGTGTGTGTGTGTGTGTGTGTGTGTGTGAGATATATGTGTATATCTACACATACATGCAAACACACATAAGTAATATCACACACTTATGTGAATTACTGCATAAAATCAAGCTTAATGTATAACCTTTTTATCTGCTTTCTGACTTTATAGGATTAATATGTGATAAGCGTACTCCCTTATCTCTTTCAGAATGTATTCTTTCTTGAGAAGATAAGGATGGAGAGATCTACTGAAAAAGCAATGCACAGTCCTGTCATATTGTCCTAGCATGACATAAAATTCCATGGTATGTCACACTAGGAAAGGTCACACTGACAAGCTGACAGCTGCAATCCTGACAGATTCTGCACTATGACAGGCAAATGACTTTATGTCCTCAATGCACAAAACGCCTGCAACAACAAAATGCATGTTTTCCTTTGCATTTGCAAAACATCCCAGAAAGCTTCAATTACCCTCAACGATTTTCCAGCTATCCTTGGGGACCACTGCCCATGTCCTGATCCAACACCTTAGGATGACAATTCCACCATCCATCTGAGCATTGCTTAGTACTAATGCCAATAAATATTTGCTGCTGTTGACAAGAGATAAACAAAAGTAGAACATCAAAGTGCTACAACTCTTCTTTTAAGAACAGATAATATTCAATTAAGAAACATTTATATTGAAATGCTTGAAGCACTGAGGTTATATAAAGTACAAACAGTCCCTGCCCTCCTGTAAAAGTATTCTAACTGAAAAGCTCAGGAGATGAACTAATTAGTCACTAACAAGACTAAAAGGAAGTAAGAGCCTTGGCCCTTGAATCAGCAAAGGCATCCATTGTGTGTAAGTACATCGAAGCAGGGGATATGTCCTTGGCTGGGCCTATGCCTGGCACATGAAACTATTCTACTCTCCAACAGGGCCCTAACATGGGAACAAGGTTCACGAGTACACCCCAAATACCTGCCTAGGTAGGATAAAGAAAAACACATCCTAATGAGCAAACTTACGGACTGAAACAGAAAGATATATATAAGCCAATTAGACAGTCTGTCACCATGGCAAAGTCTGCTCATGATGAATCAGGGCAATTTTCTCTTTTTTCTAATCTATATCAAATGTCTAAACTCTCACCATGTTCAGGGGACTGTTCAGGTTTCATTCCCAGTTATGAAAGGCAGTATAATGAAACAATGAAGGTGTCAGAAACTCAGCCTAGTCACGTGTTCGTATGTGGCTTTAGCCATAACATGTGCTCTGAGTTTCTTTTGTTCTTCTGTGAAATGAAGATTACAATGCCCAAATTGAAGGATTGTCAAAAGGATGAAATGAAACCATATCTGTGAAAGTTTTCTGTGAAGACCACTCTGAAACACTCAATTTTCAATTACCCAATTTTCCCACTTTAAAAAATGTATGACTAAAGCAGAAAAAGCAATATAACAATGTAAAGGCACTATATAGAACAGAAAGGAATCCTTCTAGAATGAAGAGGAAGGATGGGCAAAGAGTTCACACGGGGAAGTGTTTAATAGCTGCAGAGTTTATACAATTCATCTTTGAAAAAAACTAAGTGATTTCCGTACATGCAAATCACCTTCCCAAATCAAGGGAAATCAAATGAAAATGTAGAAGTCGCCACAAGAAGGTCTCTGCAGTATCTCAGGCAGAAGCATTCTTCTCAAAGTAGGGTAAATATACAGAGAGGAAACACTACCAATGGCTTAATCACAGACTTTGGTGATGACTTTGGTGATGGGTACCTCTCCTTTCGAGTGTGTGGCACCATAAAATAGTAGGAGAGGCAGGGCCAGATAAATTCTATCTCGACGTCCACAAGAATGGGTGAGGCAGAGGTCCTCAGAATCACAAACTGCGCACAACCTGCTGACCTTGGTAGGCTGGAGAGAAGTGAAGTGGAACAACTCACACAGAAATGTAACCTGATATCAGAAGGTACTTCCCTGTAAATGGGGGATGACTCCTACTAATCTAGTTATGCTTTCCCCGCTCCAAATAAACCTTTTGCAAGTACCTGATCTAGGAAGACTTCCACCAAAAAGCGAGACATAGATCAAGAAGCTCCCAGCATGGGATTGATATCAATGTAATGTAAGACCAGGTTCAGAGAAGCACTGGAAAAACAAGTGGAACATAATGCTCCACCAGAAAAAGTAGTTATTGAGCCGACGAATCATTTGAACGAAATGTATGGTCATGAATGAAAAGAACTGAATGAAGCAATCAAATAGCTCAGAGCAGAGGTAAAAGATGAAGTTCAGACGAGAGAAAGATGGAATATAAGCTATCAGAATACTTGAAAGAAAAAAAGGGAATTAAAAAATAAAAAAACTGATTGCCATATTGTAATCAACCCAAAGAAACTAGACACTGTCCAGAAGAGGAAGAATTGCATTAGAAACATAAACCAAGCCAGGCACGGTGGCTCACACCTGTAATCCCAGCACTTTGGGAGGATGAGGCTGGTGAATCACTTGAGGTCAGGAGTTCAAGACCAGCCTGGCCAACATAGCGAAACCCCGTCTCTACTGTAAATATACAAACATTAGCTGGGCATGGTGGCATGCACCTGTGATCCCAGCTACTGGGGAGGCTGAGGCAGGAGTATCGGTTGAATCCAGGAGGTGGAGGTTGCAGTGAGCTGAAATCACCCCACTGCATTCCAGCTTGGGCAACAAAGTGAGGCTCTCTCTCAAAAAACAAACAAAACAAAACAAAAAAACGACATGGATGATAGATAAATAGATTGATGGATTGATAGATGATAGATAGATGATAAATAGATAGATAGGAAAAAATATTCAAGGGAGAGAGACAGGGAAGAAGACAAGGAGATTCAAAATCTGCATAACTGGTGTGCTCGGGGAAGAGCAGCACATAAATGAGCTAAAAAGTATTAATATACCTAATGCTAAATGACGAGTTAATGGGTGCAGCACACCAACATGGCACATGTATACATATGTAACAAACCTGCACATTGTGCACATGTACCCTAAAACTTAAAGTATAATAATAATAAAAGAAAAGAAAAAGAAAAAAGTATTAAATATAATTTTTTTAAATAATAGAGAAGTATCATTGCAAGAAGGCTTGAATATGCAGATGAAAATGATCACAATGCCCTAAGAATAGTTGATATTAAAAATTTAGCAAGAACTGTATCTAAATTAGTATTTCATTAATTGGACTTTTGTAGATAAATTATAATTAGAAAAAAAATTTTTTAGAGTTCACTTAAAAAAAAGTAAATTAAAATTACACCAATCTCAGATTTTCTCACAGTAACAGTCTACTTATGAAACTATTGGGATAACATCTATGAAATTCTCAAGAAAACAAAATGTTATACCCAGGCAGAATAACATTTAATTATATGATTACAGGTCACATTTTCAAATGGGAAAATAGGCAGGAATTGCAGGGGCTGTAAAATCTTCCTGACAATCAGAAAAAAAATTAGCTAATGAGAAAATGAGGAAAGACCACTAATATTGAACTCTAGCTAACGATATGTATGCTAACGTGTTCAAAGGTAAAGTCGATTGCTATCTGAAAATTATTGTGAAGTGCAATACACTTCACAATAATACAAAAATTATTGTGAATACACAATACAAAAATTATTGTGAATACAATGGAATGATGAGTGTCACTAAATGGATAGCTAATAGGTAAAGCAAATATTGCATATATTGATTGTACAATCCAGGTAATGGTTAATGGGTGCTCACAATACAATTATTTTCATATTTCTATATATTTATGACTTTTCATAATAAAATGATGAAAAATCACAAAACCATAGCAAAGTATTGTCTCTCCACATTTATTCTATTTAACTATAGTATTAGGAGTAAAATATCTGTGGAAATTACTGTACAGAAATCAATTGTAAATCATGGCAATTTAGAATTACTGTAACAAAAGTCCATAGGACAAAGAAGATGAGAGATAAGGGATAGAGGGATGCCTATACAGGAATCAAATAGATTCTTTAATGGTGATAAATCAATTAATCAAGATATAAATACTGGAAAAACCAATAAAAATATAACCAAGTTAATTTGGGGAGTGGCATACTTAGAATACTTTATAATTTCATCTCTGGCCATAGTGGGAAGTTGACACTGTATTTGGAAAAAGAAGAAGGCTGGCTGCGCATGGTAGCTCACACCTGTAACCTCAGCACTTCGGAAAGCCAAGGCGGGAGGATTGCTTGAGCCTAGGAGTTCGAGACCAGCCTGGGCAGTATGGTGAAACTCCATCTCTACCAAAATATACAAAGTTAGTCAGGTGTGGTGGCACATGCCTGTGGTCCCAGCTACTCAGGAGGCTGAAGCGGGAGGATTGCTTGAGCCCGGGAGTTTGAGGCTGTAGTGAGCCACAGTTGCACCACGGCACCCCAGCCTGGGGGACAGAGAAAGACCCTGTCTCAAAAAAAATAATAAAATAAAACAAACAAACAAACAAACAAACAAAAAAACCTGTATTATATCAATTTGTAATTACAGAGTTAGCCATTATAAAAACTAAAAACATCCCACATTTTCATATTATGAAAAGAAATATTGCACACACTTACACAGAAAAAGAGGGGAAAATGCAAAATAAAGATATAAAGAGAAAGAATAACGTAAAATATGATATTTACAATGTGAATGTGCTACATATGCCTCCCTTTGGACCACAAACTTAACTATACATTGTTGTGGTAAGTTTTAAAGTATTTACAAATATCAAATATTAATAATGTGGAAAGGCAAATCAGGCAAATTGGAAAGGAAAGCCATGGCCATGTTCTGAGTAGCAGACACAGTTAAAACAGGGTAGAAAGCATTCCTGTGACAAAGCATGGCCCTTTATGATGAGTAAGCATATACTCAGCAATAAACATGTAAGAGGTATGAATATGTGCACACGATGAAAATATTACATCAAATTTAATAAAGTGAAACCTACAAGAATTTTTTAAATAGGCAGAAGTATGTCAATAGTGAGGGACTTCAATTCACATCTCTCAGTCCATGACTGACCCAGTATACAACGAAAGAAAAATAATGAAGATTTAAACAACATAGTTATATCTATTTGTACTTTACCTAATTCTATAACCTAAGGACAGATAATTGACCTTCCTTCCCAGCAACTGAGGAAAAAAATGCCAATCTTGAAGACATGCTAGGTCACAAAGAGAAGTTCATTAAATATTTCCCCACAAAGTTATAACTTATCAGGATTTATGACCAAGAATTCACTCTTGAATTACAAAGGAAACAAAACCAGAGATCGAAGAACATTTACAAAAGTTGTATATGAAGTAGAACCTAGGTAATATGTTAAAAGCAATGCTCAGGAGACATTTTAAGTCTCGTACACATACATATGTAAATAATAAGAAAGGATGAAAATAAATGACATAAGCATCCAACTGAAAGAACTAGAAAAAAGCCAATAAAATATGCATGAGGAAAGCAAAAGGAACAAGTTAATAAAAACGTAAATACAAGAATGAATGCATTTGAAAACAGAATCATGTTAGACCTATTAAGTAAATGTAAAGTTTTAAGATAAAAAATTAGATTGTTGATTAAACATCAAAAGCAAAAATAATGAAGATTTAAACAACATAGTTAGATCTATTTGTACTTTACCTAATTCTGTAACCTAAGGACAGATAATTCATATTCCTTCCCGGCAATCAAGGAAAAAATTGCCAATCTTGAAGACATGTTAGGTCACAAAGAGAAGTTCATTAAATATTTCCCCACAAAGTTAGAACTTATCAGGATTTATGACCAAGAATTCACTCTTGAATCACAAAGGAAACCAAAACGGTGACTGGAGAACATATACAAAAGTTATATATGAGAGTAGAACCTAGGTAAAATGTTAAAAGCAATGCTCAGGAGACATTTTAAGTCTTGTACACATACGTATATAAATAACAAGAAAGGATGAAAATAAATGACATAAGCATCCAACTAAAAGAACTAGAAAAAAAATCAATAAAATACGAACAAAAAAGCAAAAGGAACAAGTTAATAAAATCATAAACACAAGAATCAATGCATTCGAAAACAGAATGATGTTAGAGCTATTAAATAAATCAAAAGTTTTGAAATAAAAATTAGATTGTTGATTAAACTAAGCAAGAAAAGAAGAACAAAACAAAATTAGAAATGAGAACAGGGAATGAATCAGATAGTGATGAAATTAAATGCTAGAACATACCATTCGATAAGAGAAGGAAATTAAAACTGTGCATATTAAAAAAGAAAGGAAATTACCATTGTTTGCACAAAATATAACTGTATAAATAAAAAGTTCATGAGAACCAATGGAAAAACTCTTAGACATGGTAAAGATAATTCAGTGAAGTGACTGAGTAAAAAGTAAAAAGTAAATAGGTTGCCTAAGTATGTACAAAGAAGCATGCTTTCAGATCCAAGATCCATGCACAATAGAAACAAAAAGCATAAGTATAAAAAATGTGTACAAACCATATGAACAGCACGTTGAAATGCTTCTTTACTACACAAAATGACCATTGAGTAAGCGGAATGCAGACTCTACTTAAGATGGGAACACAATATCCTAAAGAAAGCAATGCATGAATTAATCTATATATTTCAAACAACTCTAGCAAAATATGAAAGATATTTTTTTCTCCAGCAAAGTAATCCAGTTTTAAAGTAAACATGCAAAAACAACCAGATTTTAAAGAAAACCTGCCCCCCACCCAAAAAAAAAGAATAAATAAGGTAGCAATCGGTAGGAAAAACAGAATCAAGTATGGATAAATGGTGTTGAGGCAACTGGAACTTGTGGAAAAAACTAAAATTGCATTCCTATCGAATTCATCAAATAAAAACAAGTTCCACGAGATCATGTCCTTTGCTGGGACACAGATGGAACTGGAAGCCATTATCCTCAGCAAACTAACACAGGAGCAGAAAACCAAACACCGCATTTTCTCACTTATAAGTGGGAGCTGAACAATGAGAACACATGGACACAAGGAGGGGAACAACACACACTGGGGACTGTTGGTGGCATTGGGGAAAGGAGAGCATCAGGATAAATAGCTAATGCATGCTGGGCTTAATACCTAGGTAATGGGTTGATAGGTGCAGCAAACCACCATGGCACATATTTACCTATGTAACAAACCTGCACATCCTGCACAGGTACCCCAGAACTTAAAATAGAATATCATTAAATGTTTTAAAAAGTTGGAAGAAAAAAATAAAAATAAAAAATAAAAACAAGTTCCAGAGATACAAATGACAAACATAAAATAATGTTATTATTAGACAAAAATATGGGAAATTTTGTTTTCTGTAGCCTAAGATAGCAAAGATCTGAGTATGATACAAAATTATGATTCCATAAACAACTTAGAAACTTAACCACATAAAAAATAATTATTTACAGCAAAAGCAAAAAGTAAACAAAGTAGGAAAATGTTTTGTAATTTAGACCACAGAAAATAGATCTTTCCTTAAACTGTGAGTAAATCCTATTAATTATCCATTAAAGAAAAAAATCAACCACCCAAAAACATGATGGATGAGGGACATAAATGGGTAGTTAATTGAAAAGGAAATATGATTGCTAAGAAATGTGTGAAAAGATGCTGGTTTTCTTCAAAAGAGAGATGCAAATAAAAAACATGAAATGTTATTCTCAACTGTCAGAACGGCAGAAATAATAATGCTGGGTGACATGAATCAGCCAAAGAGATATGGAAATACACATTCTCATAGTACTGATGGAAATGAAAATGGATAAAATATATACAGAGACAAATTTGGCAACATCTATCACACGTTTAAAGTGTATATAACCTTTGATTCAGAAGACTCACTTCTAGGAATTTATACAACAGATATACGGTGCATATGCAAGCTTATTGATTTATACGACTATCAGTTACAGCCCTGTTCATAGTTGCAAAAGAATTGAACACAAAATATTCATCAATAAAGGCTAGCTAAGTAAATGAAGTATATTCATAAAATAGGAACAATGCAGCTGTTTAAAAGAAAGAAAAAACATGAATGAAGTATTATTCACATAGGCATAATACTTTACCACTTCTGCAAATAAATTATATATTTGCATATGCTTATACATGCATAGAGTAGCTCTGAAAGGATACCCGAGAAACTGGTGTTTGCCTATGAAATGAGGAACTGTGTGACTATAGGCAGAAACTCTTAATACAATTGCAAAAGATGAACATTATAACAATAATAATAACATTTTCTAAAATCCCTTTTCCAGGACCTGGCACACATACATATGATTCATTACCCACAGTAGGTAGCCCTGCCACAAATACTGTGAGGTAGATACTTTATTTCCCTGGGTTCCAGCAGTTTAGAGAAGTTAAATGACCTGCTCCAGGTAACCCAGCTCTAAGAGGCAGAGCTGGTTTCACACTCAAGCATTCCAGCTCTGGGGTCTGGGGGGAGGCAGGTGTGACAGGTAGAATAATGTCCCAATCCCCCCACAAATACGTTTGCATCCCAATCCGCAGAACCTGTGAATGTGTAAGGTTTCATGGCAAAGGGGAGTTAAGGTTGCTCCTCAGCTGACTTTAATGTAGGGAGATTAGCCTGGATTATCCACGTGGGTCCAAGGTAATCATGAGTTCTTAAAAGTGGAAGCAAGCATCAGAGCCGGCGATGCAATGTGAAAAAGACTTGAATGGCCATTGCTGGCTTTGCAGAGAGAAGGGACTAATGGATTGTGAGTCAAGAGCTGCAAGTTGTCTCAAAAAGCTGGGAAACTCAAGCAGAACTGCTCTAGAGCCCCCAGAAAGGGACCTAGCTCTGCCAACACCTTAATTTTAGACCACTGAGAGCATTTAACGCTCTGGACTTCTGACATCCACAATAGTATGACAATAACTTTGTCTTAAGCCACTTAGGTGTGTGCTAATTTGTTAAAGCAGCAGCAGCAGGAAATGAATATGGCAGAAAAGAATAGAAAAATGACCACAGGAAGATAAGGAGGCAGTAGGGAGCAGATGGGATTTTTAACCCACGTCTTTCCTCTTGGAACTCCTTCCTGCAAGTTCAGATAAGAAAATTTCATGCAGGGAATATAGGAGATCCCAGCCATACCACCCACAAACAGGAACCCAAGAGTACTTCTATTAGAGCCTGGTACAGAGGCTCTCATGATGTGGCACCAAGACCAGTAGCAGAAGTGTCACCTGAGAATGGGTTAGCAAATCAAATTCTTGGACCCATCTTCTGGCAGCTGGAATAAAAATCTTAGAGCCATGGCTAACACTCTGGTTTGACAAGTCCTCCAAGTAAGCCTGATGTGATGCATGCCTGAGAACCGCTGGCTTAATGTAGCTCTTGGTTTAGACTGAGCAAGGCATCCAAAATGTTACTGCACATTGGAATCACGTGGAGATCTTTAAAAAATTTTCACATCTTTGTTGCACCCAAGACCCATGGAATTAGAATGCTTAGGCAGGGGAGGTGGCAATAAAGATCCCCAAGTGAACCATATGCATGACAGTTTGAAAGCACTGGTTTAGAGCAATAGTTCTCAATCTTGATACATTGAAACCACTCAGGGCCAATTAAAATGTATAGATACCTGGGTTCCATCCCTAGGTGATCTAATTGATTGGTTTACAGCCTGAGTGTCAGGAATCTTAATCCCTAGATGATTCTAATGCAACCCTAAGGTGAAAGCTAGAGCAGAATTCCCACTTGTAGCACCTGATCAGAGTTAGGTGCCACATGGTAAATGTGGGGGCCAGGAGAAGAGTCATTTCCCAACCCCCAGTCATTTCTGAAAAGTCAACTGATATTCAACTTTGCAAAATAGAAATGTTAATCTTATTTTTATTCCATATAGTTCAAAGTATTTTCAAGAGTTGATTTATTGTATCACTGCAATTGTTGCTACTATTTCCTCTTTGACATACTTTCTGCTATAAGGAGTGCTAGGTTGAACCATCTGAAATTGCTTGATTGGTCCACATTTGACATATAAAACAGCAATTTCATATTATTCAGCCTAATAACGAGCATTGTAATATACTTCCTTAGGATACTAAAATGATGGCATTGAGAAGCTCATTATTATTGCACACCTACTAGATAATGGCTTGCAAGCAAGGAGTTATCTGGGAATTTCTAAAATGCACTTTAAAAATAAACCCCAAATGCCTAGTTTAAATCACATGTGGTGAGCTGGACATAGCTGAACATCCAATAACAACTATGCCCAGTGCCCTGATATTCTTCTGTCCATCTCAATCAGCATCAGAAATGCAAGCCTCACTGCTCATACCGAGACCACCCGGTATTGCACTGAATGTCTGCTCATTTGTCCAATCACCCCTTCTTCCATCAGTTCTTCCAGTGTGTTCTCTGAAATTCCCCTCCAATATCAGCAGCATAGGCTCTGATCATCCCCACTTTCCCCAGGTCTTAACTGAAACTTGGGCATCCTCTGTAGACCCAATCTCACCCCATCCTTTGCAACATAGGCTGCTGCTCTTCCTGACCTTCATCAGGACCAGATAAAGAGAAGGTCCATCCTTGGTCCCCATGCTGGCTTTCAAATCACAGATTGGCACCACCCATCCATGTGCAGGTCCAGACCCCTGCTCCTTAGAGGCTGGTTCCAGAAGGCTGCACCATCATTAACATCTGCTTCCAGCCTCTTTGGCATCCTTCTTGTTCCCTGAGCTCCATCATTTGTCTTCTCATCCCTAGACACCCATCCCGCAACTGTTGGCCTTACCTCATACTTCACTAGAAAGCACCTCTGAAGGTGAGCACCTCCTTTTCTGAAATTCCTCTCTTTTCTTGGCTTCTAGGACAATCCCCCTCTAACCTCTCACCTGATAAAATGCCCACTGCTGGTTCTGCTTTGCCATCTCATCCTTCCCCTCCAAACATCAACTAGAGATTCTCCAGCTGTTTCCTGAACCATCTGCACACTCTTTCCTGAGGTAACCATATCCATTTTCATGATTTTACCATCCACATATGAATTTCTCCCACATTTCTATCTCCCAAGTCTCTCTTTTGAACTCTGCAGCCTGACTGCTTCCTTCACACCTCTACAGAGGTTCTCTGAATGCCTTGGAGGCTCCGGGACTGTTCTGGGAACATCAATAAAAGTAAATCAGTAAATCGCTGCCCACATGGACCTTCCTTTCAATGCAGGAGCAGGGAGCAGGTGGAGCAGGGAGATTGACAAGAAACAATAAACAAGATAAATAAACTAGGTAGCATGTTAGAAAGTGATGAGTACAATGGGGAAAAATAGAGAACAGGCTCAGAGGAAGGTAGAAACTGTTCACAGTCACTTAAATGTAAGGTTCCCAAAGCTGAGCCTCAGTTCATGACTCCCTCACTTTAGAACCCCCATACACACAAAGGCATTGCTTTTCATTCTATCTACAAGCACTGTCCAAGCAAAAACAAAACAGGAGTCATTGCGACTCTTCAGTTTTCCTCACTTGCAACATCAGGGTACTCCTGTCCAGCCCACTTTTAAAATATATCCGACTTCTACCCACTTTCCTCCATCTTTGAAAGAGCCACCCTGTTCAGTCCCAAGTGCACCTGGATTCTCTGCATCTGTTCCTGTTCCGTCACTAATTCATTCTCCCCAGAACCATCTTTTTTTTTTTTTTTTGAAGCAGAGTCTCGCTCTGTTGCCAGGCTGGAGCACGGTGGTGCAATCTCAGCTCACTGCAACCTCTGCCTCCCAGATCCATGCAATTCTCTGTCCTCAGCCTCCCGAGTAGCTGGGACTACAGGCACACATCACCATGCCCAGCTAATTTTTGTATTTTTAGTAGAGATGAGGTTTCACCACGTTGGCTAGGATGGTATCGATCTCTTTATCTCATGATCCGCCTGCCTTGGCCTCCCGAAGTGCTGGGATTACAGGTGTGAGCCACCGCATCTGGCCCAGAACCATCTTTGAACCATGTAAATAAAATTGTTTTCGTCTGTTTAAAATGCTTAAAAGTGGCTCGTCTTTGCACTAAAATAAGATCCCAATTCCCTTCATGTACATATAAGATCTTGCAAGATCTGGCATCAGTGTGTCTCTTCAACATCCTTTCTCATCAATCTATCCTTCTACTACTTGGCTTGGGATGTGTTGTCCTTTTGCTGCACGAAACACATGAAATGCTTCTTGGCCTCCTTTGCACCTGCTTTTCTCTCTCCCCACAATGCTGTTATTCCAGTTATCATGAGCGGCTCTTTCTCTTCTTTCAGGTCTGAGCTTAAACGTCTCCCAAAAGCTCTGTTTGAACATTTGATATAGAACTGCATGTGAAAAGGTACCTTCAATGATGAGTAAACTGAGGCACCCAAGTGGGTTAAATCACCTGTTCAAATGGATCCAGATCAACTACAGAAGCTCTGTTCCATTAAAAATAATGAGACGAGCCATTCATCTCATTTCCTTTAGAGCACGCATGTCCCACCCGTGGCGTGCAGGCCACCCGCGGCCCAGGACGGCTTTGAATGTGGCCCAACACTAATGTGTAAACTTTCTTAAAACATGAGACATTTTTGCAATTTATTTTAGTTCATCAGCTATCATTAGGGTATTTTATGAGTGGCCCAAGACAATTCTTCTTCCAATGTTCCCCAGGGAAGCCAAAAGACTGGACACCCCTGTTCTAGAGAATAAAATTATATTCTCTCTCCAAATGCCATTACAGCTTACTCTTGAAATACTTGAGAAAGCAACAATGACCCCTTGTTCTGACAACTTGTTTGATTATAAACACGTTTGGTAAAAAAAAAAAAAATATTTTCAGCAAGGTTGTCAAATCTGCAGATCTGTTTGTTTTTGAAGGCATAGAAATAAGAGTAGCATATCCTTGCTGTTTTGGGTGACGGAATCATGCCTGCAAAAATCTCAAAAAGACTGTGAAACATGCAGATGTGGTCACAAGGAGTGCAATAAAAATGGAACTGTTGTTCAGAAAGAAACGCCAGCATCCCACAGACATATGTGTGGTCCCATCTGTGATTCTAAATTCATTGCTTATGAACAACTAAGGAGTTGCTGGAGATCAGAAGCCATCTCTGCTTTTATCCCTTCAGAAGTAAGGCGGCATGCAGCTGGATACATCTACCCCTCCTAGAACTTGAGACAAATGACATTCACTCCTGTCTAGACCCAAGACCTCTCATGCCAATATCACTTTTCATTCCTGAAACTCTGATTTAAAGAGACAGGCTCTGAGGCCATCAACAGTTCCTACCTGATGGTTGATTGTTGATCCACGTAGCCCCAGGGTTACAGCACTGGAAGAGACCATGTACTTTAGACCCAAGCTTGAGAGCCTGAGTCCCCTCCATGGCAATTCTAACAAGTGTGTTTCCATCTCCCTGCTTGAGTACTCACAGTGATGGGCAACTCACTGCTTATCAAGGCAGTCCATTTTTAAAAATAGTTTTTAATAATAATTTATTTCTTAAATGGACTTGAAACTGTTTGTTTGTTTTGTTTTGTTTTTTCAGCTTCCGTTTCTCCCTGCACTGTCCAGGTAAGGAATGTGATCCTATGACAAAGAATCCCTTCTGACCTCTGAAGACAGCTAACACACCTCTTTTCTTTTTTCCTCCAATTTAAATGCCTTCACTTCATTGAGGGTAACATGTTATAAATTTCTATGGGACCACCTCAAAGGGCTTTTGCATTGCTGAGAGTGGACAAGGTTCCAATGATACTGTGGCTTCTCCCGGACAAATACATGCATTTGATTTTTGCCAGTTTCCAAAAACACTTACAAGAACTGAGTTGAACCTGGCTATCACTTTTCAAATTTACATTGTTTTCCTAATGCAATTACATTTTTTTCTTGTTTATTTCACTTTGTTCATCTGTTGATTATTTTTAAATGCCTATACTTTCAAGAAGTTTAAAATAACTAGATCTTGAGAACCTAGAACATAAGCCAAAGATGTATGTCTGTAGCTAAAGATATTTTGGCCACCAGAGGGCTCCCAGATTTTGATCATTATTACTCTACCTGTATTTAAACAATCAAGACAATTAAGTGGACTTATAGAAACAACAAATTTAAATATAAGCTGTTTCTGACACAAAGATAGGTCACAAATTTTTAGAAACAATTTTATTTGCCTTTGCCTCTTAATTCCAGCACATTAACTTCTTAAACACTGTGCATATACACAATGATTTAATCCCCACAATCTTCTTAAACACACACACGCACACAAAGATTTAATCTACAAAATAATTAGTCTTGATCTCTGTAAACACATTTAAATGTTTTATGACTTACTTGTCTATATCTGCAGAAGTTTTCAAATGACTATTTTGTGTGGAAAGAATAAGTGTTCTGTTTTCAGGAATATGTAGCTTTCTAAAAGTACGTATTTAGAAGTATGAATGATGGCATAAAATTGACTTGTATATAAAATTGATTAAAAAATAACGCTTAATGTCAGGAAGTGTAAGAGAAGAATCAACACTTTTATACATACTTTCCAGAAATGAAACTTAATAATTTGATATGTCTTTGAGGGTAATTTGTTAAAATATGGAATATTGTAAAATGTACACGAATTTATAGTAAGCAGTAACTTATCTAAGAATTGATTAAAAAATACACAAATATTGGGATTTTATAAGCAATTTTAAAAATAGTAAAAGTAAAGGAATAAGGACTAAAATGTCATCAATTATGTGAGGGGAAAATAAATCGTGGGACCCCAAAATCACTAAGCCCAAGGGAAAAGTCAAGCTGGGAACTATATCAGGCAAGCTTGCCTCCCATTTTATTCCAAAATAAGATAGCTACAAAGATTAACCAAAAAAAAAAAAAAAAAAAAACTACATAGCTCCCTCACAATTTGCCCACTAGGAAATTCCTTGCGGGCCCCAAGATCTTTACCCTAAAATAGTTCTGTTGCATTTCACCCTGACGAGATAAATTGATAGCTTATCTTCACAGGTGCGGGACGAAGGACAGAACTCAGTCATTCCTCTGCCCATCTGAGACAAATGCACATCTGATTTGCTTCCTCTGCCCTATGTTTATTTTATCTTATGTAAAAATAAAGATTCACTGAAATTTAAAATTCTCTTTCTCTTTCCCCAATATCTGCCCTTTCTCCTTTAAATCCCCAAACCCTCAAAATCATCTTTGGAGGAAGGCACAGACCTGTGTCCTGGGTGCACCTCCTCAATCGATTGAGACCTGTCTGAGATACTTTTTGGTTTGTAATAAGAAACTAGTTAATTTCATAGCAGAGACAGAGAGAGGAGGAAGAGAAGGAGCGAGAAGAGAAAGGAAGAGAAATACACTATTTCAGAGACTTATAATATTTCAGGGTTACTATGAAATGTCCATGAACTCAAGCTCAACAATCTGAAGTCAGGGAGTAAATGGAAAAACAGCAAATATTGCACACAGGATTGGGGAGGGGGAGGCCTCAAAGGTTTTGGGGTTTGGAGTGGGGCAAGGGCTGAACAAGGAGGGGTTTCCTGAAATTCTGCGTCCTCGTGCCCCGCCTGCACATTCAGCTGCACATTATGCTGCTTCCAGAAGCATCTCGATAGCCTAAGGGGTTTATTCTCTGGCTAAACTGAAACAGATTATTGGGTATTTAAGATGGAAGTGTAGATATTTTCTGAAAGTTAGTATAAAGAAAAGAACCAAAAGTCGAAAATTTCTGAACTGTCAAAAAGGAGGAGATTTGTACAACAAAATAATAAAGATTTAAAAAAAAATTACCTCCATCCAGGAGGTCTGTTTGAACAGTAGAAATTCCAGCGGGAGAGAAAGGTGGAAAGAGTAGGAATGGTATCATCCATAAAGAAATACAGGGAAATCACCCTACATTGAGGGGCAGGAGTGTTTGCATTCCAAGATGCCACTCAGTGCCCAGCACACTACAGCCACACACACCTTCATAAAGTTACGGGACTTCAGGAATAAAGAGAATGGCCTCAACACTGCCCACCCAAAAGGAAGAAAGTGAACTTACACCCGAAGGTCAGCAATCAGAACTATAACAACCCCTACCCTGGCAGCTAAAAGACAATGGAGAAATCATTCCCTTTGCAATTTTTAAAATTTCTAAGATAAAAATTACTTCCAAACTTATATTCTTTTTGCAAACATAAGTTCTTAAAAATGTTCTTCTCATGCATCCTTTCTCAGAAATGATGGATGGTATGTCCCGCTGAAAGGAGGGAGAAAAAAAGACATGGGAAAGCACAGGATTTAGGAAATAGGAAATCCAGCATAGGGGAGACATGAGAAGAATACTTAAGGTGGCAGCCCCTTCAGATTGGAGGCTGGTAGAGGGGCTCCTGGAGCTGTCTCTGCTGGAAAAACAAAATAGAATAAATTCCCTGACAAAGTTGAACATGTGGAAAATCATTTTGTGCTTTGAAGTGTGGAAATGTTAGATGTTTAAAGCAAAAAGGAAAAATGTAATCATAGCACACAACTTGGCTTGACACTTAATATTTACATGATTATAATAGATTTAACTAAAATGTAAGACATACTGGGAGGATGGGAATATGGGCAAAGTGACCTAAATTTCTGAACCATCACAATATGAAGTCAATAAATACATGAATAAGATTGAAAAAAATTAAATACCAGAAATTTAGTTAAAAAATAATGAGAGTGATTTCTTCGTGGGAGGAAAACGGGGAATGCATTCTCAGTTTTTTGTTGTTATAATTTCTTTATAACCATATGACATTAAAATTATTTGCATGTAGTGTTTGACTAAAAAATTTAACAATGAGGCATATGTAGTCCATGGAAAAGTGCTGTAATAGGTTCAGTGGAAAAAACGGTTTTAGAATAATGTAATCCCATATATTTTCACTGCAAAATGAAAGGAGAAATCTATTCCAACATGTTTAAAATGTTAATCTCTGGGGCATAGAATTACAGGGGCCTCTTTTATCTTAATAATCATTTCTGTCTTCTGAGTATAGCACATCAATTTTTAACCTCAATAAACCACAATGACGTAAGTCATGTTATAATTAATATAAAATAATCAAATTGGTATGTTTTATTTCAAGTTTGGATGCAAAAGAAAAAAATTGTGTAACTTAATACACAAAGCTTTTCAGCCAATGAGGATTCAGTAACTACGACTAAAACCAAGAGTGCTGTGAGCTCATTAATGTTACGTGTCTGCCTTGCAGGAAAAAGCTATGGAAACACAATATTAAAGAACCTTGGATCCTAAACTGTATGCCACGGAAACGTGGCAGGCTTACAATAACGTCCTGCCAAAGCCACCTGTGCCATTTGGTGCCTCCCTCATTGGAGCAAGGTTTGCTTCTGCGAGGCTGTCCAAGAGTCCAAGAGCTTTCTGCCCTCTCTTCTCCAGCGCCTTCAACTGAACAGCATTTTGAGCCCAACACGAAGCTTACTCTTAGTCATGCACCTGAAGTGTTTTGTTTATTAGGTTTTTGAGACAAAGTCTTCTCTGTCACCCAGGCTGAAGTGCAAAGTGGCATGATTGTTGGCTCACTGCAGCCTTGACCTCCCCAGCTCAAGAGATCCTCCCACCTCGGCCTCCCAAGAAGCTGGAACTACAGGTTTGCACCACCATGTATGGCTAATCTTTGTATTTTTTGTAGAGAGAGGGTTTCCCCATGGTGCCTAGGCTGGTCTTGAACTCCTGGACTAAAGGGATCCTCCTGCCTGGATCTCCCAAAGTGATGGGATTACAAGTGTGAGCCACCTCACCTGGGCATTTATTAAAAATTACTATTATTATGGCTAACAAAGAACTTGCAATATTGATTCAGTAGTCTTAGAATGCCACATGTAGAAGACAAATTACAAATTATTTTTGTCTAGCAATTTTCTTTTCATTACAGACATTTTCACGGTTTTCCTCCCTAGACCCTAGCTGTCATATTCCATTTTCTCTAGCCATTTCTTTACTGGTATTTTTCTCCCTTTAATGTGTCAGAGCGGATAAAAACATAAGTGGTAAAGATTCAGAAACGGTAGCTTTCTTTCTCTAAGGTTTAGCATAACCAACATGAACTTCAAGCAGTTAGCTGCAAATTATCTCATCAACTCGAGCACTTTACTTCTAAAGTTCTGACCAATCCTGCAGAAAAAGTCATCTGTTTGTGTGTCAGAGAAATATGCTTATGTCAACTCTAAGAAACCACATTAGGGAAGGAAGCAGGGGGAAGTGAACTTCACTAGGTAGAGGCCTTTGGGGCCACTCCTTCCTTCCACAACTATGGGGCTCTATGCCTCCAGCCACCACAGCTAGGCAGTGGTAGGGCAGGTTCTAGATCTTAGGTGCAGCAATTTTAACCCAGTGCTTTTAAAACAACATCAGTAACTGATTATGCATGAGACAGTACTAGGGTTACAGTCTGCTCCGAGGGCTTGGCCAAGATTTAATAATGTAATCCTCCACAACAACCTGATCAGCTGGCTATGATTTTTTTCTTATTTTATTGCTGGAGAAACTGAGGCAACAGAGTGTAAACCACCTGCCCAAGGACACGCAGCTGGAAAGTTCTGGAGCCAGCACTGGCTCCCAAGTAGCCTGGTTTCACACTCCTACGCAGCTATTACACAAGCTCTGACTTAGGAGTGATCTGCTCTACCATTTTATCAGTGGGGACAGCAAACAGGAGCAGAGATTTTATTTTACTTTACTTAATTTTTATTTTTATTTTATTATACTTTAAGTTCTAGGGTACATGTGCACAATGTGCAGGTTTGTTACATATGTATACATGTGCCATGTTGGTGTGCTGCACCCGTTAACTCGTCATTTACATTAGGTATATCTCCTAATGCTATTCCTCCCCGTTCTCCCCATCCCACAACAGGCCCCGGTGTGTGATGTTCCCCTTCCTGTGTGCAAGTGTTCTCATTGTTCAATTCCCACCTATGAGTGAGAACATGCGGTGTTTGGTTTTTTGTCCAAAACAGAGATATAGACCAATGGCACAGAAAGGAGCAGAGATTTTCTAAACACCATGTTACTTGCCCAGTGACAGAGCTGTCCAGAGCTCAGCCTCCCAACCCTCCTCTCTTTGTGGCAGTTTTAGTTCATTACATCACTTAAATGTCAATGGAATGAGAATGTGTCTGTGCATAAATACGGTGAATGTGGACACTTCATTCTTCAGTGCTTAGACTCAGAACAGATGATGTCACATTTTAAAATACGTGTTCTGAAGAAGATGGGTGTACATTACCTTCATACTGAATCAAATTTTAAATTCACTAATAACTATTGAAAGCAATCCAGAAGCAAACCCGTAAAACTAAAGAAAACTTTTAGGAAATAATCATATTTTAATCTATCATATATAAATTCTAATTTTCCTAATTGTTAAAATTTTAATGGAGGTACACATGCATCTTGTTGTATTGGATATACTGTTTCCCAAATGGGAAAAATCATAGTAAAACTTCATTTTGAAATAATGTTATTTTGGATTTGTAATGACCAAAATCATTAGGAGCTTAGAGCTTTAAGGTGATATTGCAGATAGTTCAAAATTAAATGGATGGACAGTCGATTTGGTTTGTTTCACTTGTGTGTCTGTTTTGGAGGAGTGGTTTTTTTAAATGGTTTGTGTGTTTAAATGTAAAGTTTTTTTAAAAAGACCTCATACTCATTTCTCAGAGCAATTATCTGAGGTGTGTCACATTCCATCCCCTTCTAGAATAACAATTCTCCCAATATGCATGTGTGATGCAGAAACCAGGTGCCAGTTAATGCACATCACTGTGTGGAGAGAAACGAGAAGAGAAAGGGTGTTTGGCCATGCTGATGGTGCAAACACAGCTGTGCACTTCATATTTTTGTTGCTAAGGTCATATGGGTCAGCCCTCTCAGTGGGCTACAAACCCATTTCCCTGGCAAAGCGGACGGTCCATACGGGGCACGGATTTATTTGAGGAGAAGTATCCATGTTGTTCTGGGGGAATAAAGGGGCTGTTCACCAACCAGGCAGAGACCTTCCTAAAAAGCAGCCATGGCAACTCAGTTTACCTGCAAGCAAGAATTGCCAGCTACGGCTAGGTAACGGCTCTTAACTTTTTAAAAACTAAAGGAGAGCAGAATGAATTAGAAAAGCAGAATGTGCTGCAGGCACAAAGAGTGGCACCAAGAGTGGCACATTCATTTTGGACCTAGAGGTGGTTAAGGTTATACTGCATGTACAATTTGAATAGACAAAGGCAAGTACTGGAATTAATTACAAAGCTTATTGGGAATCCACCAGTGACATAGGCAGTAACTAAATCAAGAGGGGGCTGAGAAGCCATCTGACAATAACGGCCAACCTAATGGCTGCCATGCTTTCCAACATGATAGACTGCGGATGCCGACCCCTTAGATAATAGCCTGGTGTTAACACCAGCGCAAATATGACCAAAACTGAGGGCTCTGAAATTGGGCAGCGGTCACCTATCAGGTAGATCATACAGGTTCTATGTGTTACAGAATGTGCATATACAACTATTGTCAGATTTTGTTATGGGCTGCATGATGTCCCTCCAAAATTCATGTTGAAGTCCCAACCCCCAGTACCTCGGGATAAGGTATTTGGACATAGGGCCTACAAAGGGGTGATTAAGGTAAAGTGAGGTCATCAAGATGAGCCCTAATCCAGTATGACTGGTGTCATTGGAAGAGGTGGAAGTGAGAACACAGACACACACGGAGGACAACCACGTTAGGACACAGAGAGGAGGTGCCATCTACAGTGTTGGAAGGAACCACCCTGCTGATAGCTTCGTCTTGGACTTAGAGCCTCCAAAACTATGAGAAAACAAATGACTGCTGTTCAAACCCCTGCTCAGTGGCATGTTTTTGTGGCAGCCCTAGCAGATGAATGCAGACGATCATCAAAACAAAGGCAAGGGCCAGGTGTAGTGGCTCATGCCTGTATTCCTAGCACTTTGGGAGGCTGAGGCGGGCGGATCACCTGAGGTCAGGAGTTCAAGACCAGCCTGGCCAACATGGTGAAACCAGTTCTCTACTAAAAATACAACAATTAGCTGGGTGTGGTGGCAGGCGCCTGTAATCCCAGCTACTTGGGAGGCTGAGGCAGGAGAATCACTTGAACCTAGGAGGTGGAGGTTGTAGTGAGCAGAGATTGCGCCACTGCACTCTAGCCTGGGTGACAGAGTGAGACTCCGTCTTCAAAAATATATATAATAAATATTAAAAAAAAACACAACCAAAAATACAAAGGCATATTCAGTACTGGAAAATTCCAGAAAATGGTCCAAGCACCCCTTGGCATGTTCCTTTGCAGCATATAATATTCCATTTAATTGTTTTTTCTTTCTTTCTTTTATTGTAGGCAATACTTTTCTTTGTCCATCCAGAATCCTAACAAGCATTGTAAACAAATAAACACATAAAATAGCTAAAAATGGAGCAGCAGCCGCGGGAGCTGCCGCCCTCCCCTTCCCCCCTGAGCTGGAACAGCCCCTGGGGCTCCCGCAGAGCAGAGTTTGAAAAATGCCGCTTCCATTCTGGTGCCTCACAAAGATCTAACATGTCAGCGAATTACCTCAGGTTTGCACATTATCATTAATCAGGGGCATCACAGGGGATGGCAGCATCCCCCAGACATAATAAATAATGGTGAACTCAAGGTTTCTGCAGGCGAGTGCGTGCGTTCTGCCTGGGAAGGGCAGTCCGTGTCCATTAGAGACTGAGGGGAACGTTGTTCTTGCCGTGTCCTCTGAGGGTTCCCACGACGAGAACTGCGAGGGAGCCCTGCTCATTCAGAGACCCAGTGCAGGCAGACCCACACCTGGGCACCTAGGCCAGAGACCTTCCATGGAGCTCTGCAGGCTCTCAGGGCTTCTGAAGATTGGCATCTCTCCAGGAAAAAAAAAAGCCCATCACCCCAAACAGTCAGTAGGCTTGCTGTTGCCTCACCTACCCTGGATGCTGAAGTTGGAGAGCACTTAAGGTTTCCAGAAGTTTCTCCAGCCAGCAAGATGCTCCACCCTCCTCCTTCAGACTGTCGTGCGCAATTAATGACAAGCTTTCATATCTTTGATTGTGAAGGTGCATTAGCACTTCAGCTGGCTCCTCTGGGTCACTCTTGGGTTTATTCCACGTTTAAACCTTCAAAATCTGCTTTTATTTAGGTCTTGGCATTCAGGCCAGTGCCCTTCAGAAGGACACGAGGATGGCCCATCTTCCAGGGCTGGACTCAGCCCACCTAACTGGCTCAGCAAGATCCCTGCTGGTGTGAAACTTGTCACAGGATGTGGCAGGGAGGCTTCTCCTAGAACTGGACTGGGGCCCCCTTCGTCATGATTGTAGATTAGAGTCAGGGGCTCTTTGTGTGACCTTCGTCCTGGCCTCCTTATGATTTGAATCACATTTTCCTCAGTGGCTTGATCAATGTGTTCATTCACGAAAGTGCTGACTTTCCCATACAAAATGGTCAGCCTGGCCGGGCGCAGTGGCTGCACTTTGGGAGGCCGAGGCAGGCAGATCACAAGGTCAGGAGTTCAAGACCAGCCTGACCAACATGGTGAGACCCCATCTCTACTAAAAATATAAAAATTAGCCGGGCTTGGTGGCATGCGCCTGTAATCCCAGCTACTCAGGAGGCTGAGGCAGGAGAATCGCTTGAACCTGGGAGGCGGAGGTTGCAGTGAGCCTAGATCGTGCCGTCGCACTCCAGCCTGGGCAACAGAGTAAGACTCTGTCTTAAATAAATAAATTAATAAATAAAATTTAAAAAAAAACACATCAGCCTATTCCATTTGAGTAGTTTCAAGTTTCTTTTGTGTGTAAGTTGGTATTTCATTCCATTTTTGATTTTGTAGGACATTCGAACTATCTGTCAGGTTATCCAATCCTATTAGGCTTCTTTCCTCCACAAGTGTTTCATCTTTGGGTGGGTGCTTCACTCCCATGCTGTACTAACCACCTCATAGAGAAAGGGACTATACCAGAAATGTCCTTGTATTTCTATAGGAGGGTCCCCATTTGGGTGCTTCACTCCCATGCTGTACTAACCACCTCATAGAGAAAGGGGCTATGCCAGAAACGTCCTTGTATTTCTATAGGAGGGTCCCCATTTGAAGGCCCTTAGTGAAGGTATATCGATAATTTTAGGGAGATAATATGGCATGAGAAAGGGCAGTCAACTCTGAGTTTGAGCTACAGCTCAGCCATTCATCATGGATACGACTTGGACCATTTCTTAACTTTCCTGAGCCTCAGTTTAGAGGCTAATATAACCCATTGAGTTGTTATAAGGCTTTAATTTTTAGATAACATTAATATGCATATATTGCATGCAAAATGCACAGGTAAGTGTCTGGCACATAGTGATCAATTTATCATAATAATATTGATGATGATAGTGACAATCACAAACATTTAATAAGAGGTATGTTTAAAATAGAGTTTGCTCACAACCTTATCAGCTAAAATGTTTGTGGTCTTAACTAAACAATGAGCTTTCGAATGTGCTTAAGGTGAGGACAGAAGGGACTCTAGGAATTTCAGAAGACTATAACTGGGGAGTTTTGGGGGAAAGAATTTATTCTTTGCTGACTAACCATTGGTTAGGTGGTGGGCAGGGCAGGTCATAGGGAAAGCTTTGATGGGAAGGGCTCAAAAATCAGTCATTGTAGGCTATGTTATACAGTGTTCCCTGCTAAGGCCTCAATAAGAAGAATGAGTGGAAAGTTCTCTACGTGAACAATCCAATTAACCATGAACTGCCAAAAAAAACTTGAGGGAAAATTCAGAGAGAGTAGGAAAAACGTTTACTTTCTCACCTTAGTCCTGTGACCATAATTTTGCAAGCCAAGACCTGATAAAAATAATGTTCATTTTAAAATTTAAAGTACAAATAAGTATATTTTATTGCATGAAATTTGGAATATTTGGGAAGAGCTCAAAGAAAACAAAAGTTATATAACTTCCTAAATAGTATTTAAGGAAGACTGCAGTCAGCCCACAGGCATTTAGGATCTCAATGTGGAAAAGTATAAAATGTGTTTTAATTTAAAAAGAAATTTTCAAAATATACCTGTTCAAACCTCATTCATACAATATTCACAAATAAAGAGGAATATGAATTCTTTTTCACTGAATAGTCTAGAAAAATAAAACCAGCTCTCTATCTGCCATAGAAAATCAGAAATTGATCTAACAAAAGATAAGAACCAGAAGAAAAGGAAAAGAAATAGGAAAAAGGAGATACCATGCTTAACACACAAAAAAGGAGATAGTTAAAAAATGATAATGGCAAAAAAAAGAAAACGGTATTTTTTCTGATCGTCTTTTCTATAGTAGAAATTTGCAATTTCTCAGATGCTCAGTATTGAAGTTCCAAAGGACGTGTAAATTTCCACTGATGGCCGTGAGTCATCTATAATTATTTCCACCATATGTACTTACATCCTTTCCAGAGAACCTGCCCATTAAAACAGCATATGAAACTTAGTAAGTTTCACTTTTTTATGTTTTGGAAGAAAGTGATAAAACCCATACTACTTGAGGAACTGAATTACACACAGTGTTTATTAACACTGAGAGGTCTGCTTTTCATTTGAGCACAAATTTGTAATTATTTTAGAATATTATCAAAATGATATATTTAATCTAAAATCCAATCATGCATTTTCATTTAAATTGTTAACATTTTATTCAGTATTTTAAAAGATAAAATAACAACATTTTCTCCACTGACATTTTTTTCTGTCTTTTTAAAAAACTTGTCAGTAAAGTGTAATATACCTAGAGAAGAGTACATTTAACTGAATAGCCCAGCTGAATCATCACCAACTGATCCCACCCATGCAACCCACATTTAGGTAGAGAAAAAAAATTACCAGGACCCCTGAGCCCCACCCCCCATGCTTCTTTATAGTCATTACTCTTCTTTCAAAGCCACCCAGTATCTTGATTTCTAATAGGATAGGTTCGTTTTGCCTGTTTTGGAAGTTTATGTAAATAGAACCACACAGAATATATTCTCTTGTGTCTGTCTCTCTTCCTTCAACATTACCTTTTCAAGATTTATCCACATGGTTGTGTGTAGTTGTTGGCTGTTCATTCTCATTTCTTAGCTGTATTATATTGAATGAACATAACTCCATTTAGCTGTTTGGGGGAATTTGCATAGTTTTTTGATTGGAGCTATTATGAAAAGTGCTGCCAAGAACACTGTATATGCCTGTGTGTACCTGGGAACCTGTAGTACATGTGGACATAGGTAAATATTTTTTTCTTTTGGGGACATAGCTGGGAGTGGAATGGCTTTGCCATAGGGTAGGCACAGAGCCAGCTTTTAAAAAGATTGGTCATTTTCCAAAGTGATTGCATGACCTTAATTTCTATGCACCAAATAAAATAGCAAATTGTAAAAAGTTACATTGTACTAAAATTATAGCCACTTTTTGTTACATATAATCTTCAAAATATATGGAACATCCTAAAAAATCAGTTCTTGGCCAATAGGGAGGATTTTTAATTTCAGGTGTTGAACTGAGATTTTGAGCAAAGAACTATAAATCTAACAATGATCACTACTGTTATTACTGCTACTACCACAACTACAACTAATTACAATGACTGCAACAAAATAACAAATACAGTAGCCCTGCCTTATACACAGCTTCCAAGACCCCCAATGGATGCCTGAAACTTCGGATAGTACTGAATCCTTTATATGCTTTGTTTTTTTCTATACATCCACACCTGTGACAAAGTTTAATTTATAAAATTAGACATAGTAAGATATTAACAACAATAAATAATAATAAAATAGAACAATTAAAACAATATACTGTATTCTGAGTTATGTGAATTTGGTCTCTCTCTCTCTAAACATCTTACTGTACTGCACTCATGTATTTTCAGACCATGGTTGATCAAGGAAAACTCAAACTGCAGAAAGTGGAGCTGCAGATAAGGGGGAAGAATGCTGTAAGAACAGAAGCCCACCTATGTGCCAGGTGCTGTGCTAAGTGCTTCATTGCAATGAGGCATTTCAACGTCTAAGTAATCCTATAAATTCTATTATTGTCCTCAATTAAATGTGATGAAGCCAGAGACATGGCCATGAGTAATTTAACCAAGATGAAAAAGCCACTCACCACTCAGGTCCATTGGACATGAAACTCAGCTCTTACTACCCTATAAAGCCCAGTGCTTCCATCTGCTCAGGGAAGTACACAATCATCATCATCATTAACGGTGCAGGGGTAACATCTGCTCATCTATGTTTTCTGATATGCTTAATTCCTTAGTCCCCTTAGAAACATCTCACATATGTATTAGTCCATTTTCATACTCCTATGAAGAAATATCCAAGATTGGGTAATTTATAAAGGAAAGAGTTTTAATTGACTCAGTTCCACATGGCTGGGGAGGCCTCACAATCATGGCAGAAGGCAAAGGAGGAGCAAAGGCATGTCTTACATGGCAGCAGGCAAGAGAAAGTGTGCAGGGGAACTTCCCTTTATAAAACTATCAGATCTCATTACACTTATTCACTATCACGAGAACAGCATGGGTAAACCTGCCCCCATGATTCAATTACCTCCCACTGGGTCCCTCTCACAACACGAGGGGATTATGGGAGCTCAATTCAAGATGAGATTTGGGTGGGGACACAGCCAGACCATATCACATGGGATTCTCCACATGGACTGACATGATTTTTAAAAATCTGTCAGCAGTAAAAATGAATATCCTAGCAGTGAAGAAAAATAAGTTGTAAATATTTTGAATCTTATTTTCAGACATATGTGTGTGTACATGCGTATGCATGTACGCACACACAAACTCACACACACAGCTAATGGTCTTTTGTGCCAGGTAAATGATAGCAACATGTATGAGATTTGTTTACCATGTCATTTATTTAATTAAACAAAACTAAATATTGTGCCACAATATTTTACCCCCAAACTCAGTCAGCTGTGACAGAAACTGCCTGCACCCAACATTAAGAAACAAGAACGCCAGAAATGAGGCAGAGGAAGGTCAAACGCCATTTCTCTGGGAGTCCTTGTTCAAAGGCTGCTCCAGCCTCACAGCCCAGAGGCAGTTCCTTGTGCCCTGACTTAGGCTCCTTTTAGAAATCTATAGGCTCCTGTTAGAAAAGGAAATAGTCTCTTTCTAGATGTGGCTGTATACACAAAAGTTAAAGAATCACTAACACATGAGATAAAGCATTTCCCAAAGCCTTTTAGGGAAGAGAGAGTATTGCTCTTTCCCTCCTGGTATTCTTCCCTTTAAAAATCTGAACTCAGTGTGAACAAATAACAGGTCAGAGACTGAGACAGTCTTGTTCATAGCCTCACACACATTAAGTTCTATGCATAACACATTGAAGCTATATTTTTGCAAATATCATACTTCATTTTCTAGAAACTTGAAACATAGTCAAGAGGAATTTTTAATGTTTGTAGACATTACTTATCTCTCACGTACATTCTGTATTGAAACCTATCTTCATGTGACATATTTACATGCTACAATTTTGATGATAGAAATTTGACGCTGTTGCTACTGAAGGTTGTGAATGTAAGGCCTCGTGCTGGACTGTCATATTAAACAGCGATGTGCCACATGGTTTTGAGTGCAGAAAGTTTAAGTGACAGTAAAGAATGTACATTAGGAAGGCCATTATCACTGACACTTTGAATTTCACATAACTGGACCTTAAAGATGATACTGGCTCAAGGTCAAAAGGCACTCTAAATATCAATATTTATATCTTTTCTCTGATGCAATCAGAAAACATTTTAGTCAACCTACCAAAATTACTGATTTGGGAAAGAATTAACAATTTATTCTCATCTGGGAAAAAAACAACTCTTTTAGGCCATGCTTTTGCCCTCTGGGCCTAGGATGCCCTACACCCTGAAATGCTGCAGCTAGAAGGCCCGCACCAGATGCGGCCCTTTGACCTTGGACTTCTCAGCCTCCAAAACTGTAAGTCAAATAAACTTGGGCATACACTTTTTAAAACCCACTATTTCAAAACTATTAAATTCATTTTTCCCCCAACAGAAGCTCCCTGCAGCAAAAGTCACTTCCTGTAGAAAGACCACAAGAACAGGCCGGGTGCGGTAGCTCACGCCTGTAATCCCAGCACTTTGGGAGGCCGAAGCAGACAGATCACAAGGTCAGGAGATCGAGACCATCCCGGCTAACATGGTGAAACCCCGTCTCTACTAAGAATACAAAAAAATTAGCCAGGCATGGTGGCGGGTGCCTGTAGTCCCAGCTACTCGGGAGGCTGAGGGAGGAGAATGGCATGAACCCGGGAGGCAAAGCTTGCAGAGAATGGCGTGAACCCAGAAGGCAGAGCTTGCAGTGAGCCAAGATCATGCCACTGCACTCCAGCCTGGGCAACAGAGACAGAGCAAGACTCTGTCTCCAAAAAAAAAAAAAAAAAAAAAAGCTCACAAGAGCAAAGGAAAGCCTTGCTCAGGAACAATGAAATGGACTCAAATACCCAGCATTTTTCAGTATGAGTGGAAATGACCAAAAATAATCCAACAACACTACGAAAGTGTGATTTTCTTCTTCTGATTTTTAAAGTTCATAATAAAGCCAGAACTATATTCAACTGTGGAAACAACAAATGATGAGACTAAATCTTGCCATCCTAACCCACATGCACTGCCTAGTTACTTCCTGAGCAGCTGCGTTTTGGCTCTCCATCCATAACAACCCGGAGTGGCAGACAGGACCCGTGTCACAGTTGAGTGAGGGACAGAGCAATTTATGAAGCTACAGCAAATGAAAGGCAGAGCTAGACCCGGAACACACGTGCACTGCTTATTGATCCAAAGTGGATCCTGTCACCCATAGAGGCGATTCGCCGTTCCCAGTTGAGTGTGAAACCAGAAATCTCAGAAGTGTCTGAAGTCACTATAATTACCATGGCAACACCACTCCGGGGGGAAGAGCAAGTGCAGCCTCTCACCTCCTTGTGAGATTATTTCTCATTTATTTGTACATGAAAATGGCTCCATGTCACCTTTTTTGTGGCCATCCTTGCATAGAAATGAAGACCATTTCCAGTCTTTTTATTCACATAATTGCATTTCTTCCCTACATTTCATAATTTTAAAATATGACCACACTGAACAGTTCTAAACGTAGCTATTGTACACTTATGTAGTGTCAGAAGCACTTTTTCTAACATGTAGCTTTATGCCCTTATAGCTGTGGGAGAGTATAACTACATTGAAAACACGTGCCTAGCACCCAAAATAATAAAGCTAATGACTGTCTTTGTCATCTGTAGATATTTCACACTGTTCTTTGCTCTCTGCCCCTTCTAGACTCAACTTTTTTATTTTTATTTTTTAATATAGAGAATTTTTCAGAATTTTTACTCACTACAACATGGGTATACTTTGAAAACATTTTGTGTTTTAAAAATTGGACTAAAGGAAAAACTTTATTGGTTTTGAAAATCAAAACCAGAGAAATCACTACATTTTCATACTCTCTGGAGACATTTCAAAAAGAATTAGAGCAAAAGGTAACACACATTCCCAGGAGGTGGACCCTGACAGCAGAGGGCAATAAATGTTTGATTCTAGAATTTTTGAGTCTCACTGTTTATTTTATATGGAAGCCCCCTATGTTTTCTCCCAAAGAATTTCAGCAAGACAATTTATAACTCTTAGCACACTACCTCCACACTTTTAAAGGTGTAAAATAGAGAAGGTGGAATGAGGTGGCAGAATGTCTTGCTTCTATCAGATGTGTGCTTGAACATGAGGTGACAATACACTGAATGCTATCAGGGAGGCTAATGACACACAGCCCGCCTAATTGTGAAATTTTTATTAAGGTAGAGTTGTGGTGCTGTGGATGTAATTATTTTTTAAAGTATATTTGACTTGCTTTTTATATACTGATCATCTGTGTCAGTGAAAGATCTCACAAAATTTGATGACAAATTAGTTGTGACTAATATTTTAAAATGTCCCACGCAATTCTTCTGCATCTCTAGAAGATTAGAAACAGAAGAAATGTCATTTAATGGGAAAAGTAAACATGCAGGTGCATCTGCAGAAAAGCACAAACTCCTCATGATCTTGCAGGACTTACAAATTAGCAAATATCTATTTTAAAATTTCCAGAAGTCTTTCACCATTGTGAGATTTTACTTTCATTTCATGTCGAATCTATTTGAATAGTAAGGAGGAAAAAACAGCTACCTATTATGGATAAGTATGGTTTTAGGCATTTATGATATTACTGTGGGTTATTTTTAAGTGAAATCAACTTAAACGGGCAATATATTTATTTAAGTTGGCTTGGTTTTAGTGTCACTGGCCAAACATTTCAACAGGAAATTACCATGGGAATTATATCTTTAATAGCTATTTCTCCTAACAATATTATTGTGAGGATCAACAAGCCATGATGTTTTTGCCTGATTACACAATGATAATTTTTTTCTTTTTATTTTCCTGTATAACGGAGGCATGTTATAATTAAACATAAGTTAAAATTTCTTAAGCTGTTTGTTGGAAATTATTTATATATAATTCCTTTAACAACTATGAATACCCATTAATAAACCTAGATTACTATTTGTCCATTTCAAGCATCCTATCCCTGGAATAGATTAGTGTGCCTAGTTCTTCTCATTTTAACAATAGTACCCAGACGTGCGTGGGCTCCCTGGTACACACGTGTCTTTTGTGTGTTCCTAAAGTTTGCTGTGAATGCTTTCTATGACTATGGTTCTTTCCAATTTAAAATTTTAATAGAAAGTTAAAACTCTAGATGTTTAATCACTTCTTTCCTTACCAAGGCTGAGGAAGTATTTTTAATTTTTCTGAGAGGTAAGCAATTTTAATCCTGACATTTTGGCTATTGGCCAATAATTACGAACTGTTAATTCTACGGGGCAGGATGTAGGTCCTCGGCAACAAAAGATGTTAGACAAGGTTCTTGCTTTCGAGAATGTCTCAACCCACCCAAACTCATCTAATCTTCAGCAGGTTCCCCACCTATAAACAAAGTCCACATCCAAAGACTACGATTTATGGGTCTGTCCAGAGGCTTCCCGAATATTTCACCGTCTCAAATATATTGTCCGGCAGAATTGTGAAAGGTGGAAGTGGGCAGAAATTGAGTAAGTGGGCATTAAATGCCCTATCCAGTTCATCCATCCATCCTATCTATACCTTAGCTTGTCTTTGACTTGACTGTTTACAACTCTGCAGAGATAGAGGTTAACTGATAGAAAACATAAAGCAATGAAAACACTTCCTGTCCATAGCAAGGCAAAGGACTCCTGTTCTCAGTGCTGCAAATACATTTTGCCCCATAGAAAACAAATCTCTGTGGATAGAATCTTCAATGGAACCAGTTGCAACATCTTAGCAATTCCCTCATTCATGAATGAGTTAAATAAAATATTTGACTCAATGTTCATCTGCTATTTGTATGAAACTCATGATTTTATCACCTAAAAAAGAAACTCTTGGATAATGTTCATGGGTGGTTTTTTTTCCTCTGGTTCCTGCCACTGCGTCATCTCCTGAAGCTGCTGTTCTTTCTCCAGCTTGCATGAGGCCAAGCATAAAATGCAACTCTCTCTCCCTCATTCCCCAAAGTGCTGCTGACATAAGTCTGCTGTGGTTACCTGTTTTATACAGGGAGATGTAGGATGAGGACAATTGCCACACAGCGCAAAGACTGAAAAAATCCTAAAATCAAATGGTAGATGCTGTCATCTATAAGTTCTTGTCTATCCCTCCTGCAGAGAATGTTTTGGTGACGCCAACAGTCCCAGCCTGTAGCTTCCTGCTCTGTCATGGAGGTCACCTTTCTTTGCTCCTGCTCCTTCATTTCCACTCATCTGCATGTCCTTGAAGCTTCCTCCAGCAGCTTTTAGAGACGCTTCCAGAGTCTCATTATGTTATTATACAGAGGAATTGAAGAACTAGGTTTTAGTTCCTCCGCCTACATCAATTTCTGGCCTCACTGACAACACAAGACTCACTGAGGTCCCTTGCTACTAAGCTCCCTGCTACCCCCTTTGCATCCACCCTCCAAAAATAAAACACAGTCAGCCACTCTACATATTTCAATATCACACTGACTTTCTTTCTTTTTTTTTTTTTTTTTTTTTGAGACGGAGCCTCGCTGTCGCCCAGGCTGGAGTGAGTGCAGTGGCGCGATCTCGGCTCACTGCAAGCTCCGCCTCCCAGGTTCACGCCATTCTCCTGCCTCAGCCTCCCGAGTAGCTGGGACTACAGGCGCCCGCCACCGCGCCCGGCTAATTTTTTGTATTTTTAGTAGAGACGGGGTTTCACCGTGTTAGCCAGGATGGTCTCCATCTCCTGACCTCGTGATCCGCCCGCCTCGGCCTCCCAAAGTGCTGGGATTACAGGCGTGAGCCACCGCGCCCGGCCCACACTGACTTTCTACCAGACACAGAAGGAACTAATACAGAAGGCTAATCATCAGTAGTTTTTGAATCCACCAATAACAAATAAATAAATAAAATGTATTTAAGTTTAAATAATTTTATTTTATAAATTACATACTTAAATAGAACAATTTAGATGTTACTTACATGCATATGTTATTTCTATTTGTTATTTAACTTTAAAATATCTTAAACCTGTATACTTAAATTGTGTGTCAAATGTATATTTTATATTGTATGTTATTATATATTTATATACACACATATATACATACACATACATACACACTGACTTTTCACACATATACACACAGTCTGAAATTTACCTTTTGACTACCAACACAATTATTACACCATTACTTTTATTAAATGTTTTTAAATAGGAGCCTCATTTAAATCTACTGCATATTCTTTTAACTTGCTTGTGTCTAAAAGTTTTTAAGGCAGCTTACAAAACTACGTACTATAAACTGAGGGCAGCAAAAATAAAGCCTGAGATATAGCTAATATTCAAATTACACATCAAAAGACCCTCCCTGATTCCTAGAGGTCAGCCATAGATGGCTAACAGATCACCCAACTATAAGGAGAGACCCCTATCCACTCAGTTGCTAGTGAATATACAGTAACACAGTCAACAAAGCACATGAAATGCATTCACCAGGACTTGGGATAATCACCCGGCATGGTTTATCCTGGGCCTTTCTTTCCACTACTCTCTCTATGACTTTCAACTCACAGCCTTTATACTGGCTGGTCCTTCCCCTCTTGACTGTCCTTTTTCAGATGACTCCAGACTGTCCATCCTAGCCACCAACCATTGTAAACTCAGATCCTGGCATGGAGTATTTACTCACCAATAAATGTCAAGTAAAAGAGGCAGGCAGGCAGGCAGGAAGGAAGGAAAGAAGAAAAAGAGAAAGAAAAGAGGAAAGGGAAGGAGAGAGGAGAGGAGAGGAGGGGATGGCAGGGGAGGGAGGGGGAAGGAGAAGGAAGGAATGAGAAGGCCCTCAGGGGGTCTGGGGTTGTAGCATAAAAGGGCCCATAACTGTAAAAAATGATATTTTACAGTTCAGGTTTTAACCTTGAAGTGCACACAGACCTTAATACAGCACTGTTTAAGCATTAGGACTAAAGCTTGAATTTTCACGGGGTAAACTGATATTTGAAGAACCTATGCAATATTTCCTTTCTAGTTTCTAATGTTCCTTGAATGGCTCAAGCTTGAAACCACTGGGATCAACATCTGTCATCAAACAGAGCTTGAAATCAGCTACCATCGGAGTTGACATTTGTAGGACACCTGCCCTCACCCTGGCCTCCGCTGAGCTCCTGCTTGGCTCCCTAGAGTACTTCTGCTCCTTCCTGGGTGCCAGTCCTGCTGGCATGGGGTCATCAGTGCCTGCCTTTAGCAACTCTGCTTGGTCTCACTTTCTGCTTCTAACAGTCTGGGAGCACCAGGTAAGCAGGTGGTAACAACAACATGCAGACTCAGAGAATAAGACCATGAGGAACTCCACATGTTTGAAGCAGGGTCTTTAGCACAAAGGTTTGATCCTTTAAATTTAACCTTTCATGGGCCTTTTATGTAATTCCTGGTTCTGACTTATCTATGGGTTCATGGAATAATCTCAGGGTGAGAAAGCACTTTCTCCCTCTCTCTATAACCTGTAACTCTCTCTCTCTCTCTTTCTCTCCCTCTCTCTCTCTCTCTCTGTGTGTGTGCATGTGTGCGTGTGTGCGTGCGTGTGTGTGTGTGTGTGTGTGTGAGAGAGAGAGAGAGAGAGAGAGAGAGAGAGACTGCCTGCTCACACGTAGAGGGTAAGCACTCCAGGTAGCTATAAAACATTTCACCAGTGAAGCATACTGCTATTGTCTCTCAGGCAGGCTTGGGTGTTGCATGAGGTGAGGCTGGAGGGGGCTGCTGGAGCCACATCCTTAGAGAGGTAGAAGTCACACCAAGTCATGTGGGTTCATGCTGAGAGTAATCAGAGCTACTCAACCATTTCCAGCAGAGGGATACATGAGAAGATTTGAATTTTAGCAAAATCAGCATAACTGCAGGGTGGGGAATCCATTGGAAGGGCTGAGGGTGAAGGCAAGGAAGCCCGTGAGAAAGTTAATAATCTTAGAGACGGAACCAGGGGAGAGGCAGTGAAGATGGGCAGCTTCTAGAAACATTCTAGAGAGAACCTATGAAGCTGCTTGAGGGTGAGGGCTGTTTCCAGGGAGACATCCAGGTTTTTGGCATGAGTTTTCATAGATGGTTCTGCTATTCACTGAGATAAGGAGCACAGGAGAGAGAAGAGAGTTGTAGCCAGCATAGTGAAGAGGCCATTGCCAGTTGATTAGAGTCAAATTTATGTACATTCTGGTTCTTGTACACTCTAGATGGCACTTCGCAAACTAAGGCACATTCAAATCCCTGGGGTATCTTATGAAAACACAGGCACTGGTTCAGGAGATCCAGAGAGGGGTTGATGTTTCTGTCTTTCTAACAGTTGATGCTCATCTTGCTGGTCAGGGACCACATTTTGAATTAAGGCTCCACATTAATCAAAACTTTTCCTGTTATGCACCCATTCTCAATGAACTTACCAACTCTATGAGTGTGTCGCCCTCTCTGTACTCCGCACCTGGAACAGTGGCTGGCTGGAGACGGACACCTTTGTTGAGCCCCAGCAGCAAAGCCCTTCCTCTCTGAGTTTCTGCTTCCGCAGCAAGGGCTGCTCTGCTAAAGTGATGCCAGAGAGCTTGGAAGTCTCTGTGGAGATCACGGCTTCTCTCCATATCGGGGATCCAGGAAAAGAGACGTTTGGTCTCTGGAAACTTCTATTTGAAGGCTCAGTCATGTCTGAGGTTGTCTTTCTGCATCAGATTGCCTGATAGTTTCAATGAGAAACTGCTGAACTCTGAAGTTTGACTCTGCTGCATTTCAGGGGGAGAGGTAAGCTTTTTATTCTTTTCTGTCTCCGTGGGCACAGAGTGACACATGCACAGTCAAGAAGAGGAGAAAGGCATCCACCCAAAGGAAAAAAGGTAAAAATCAAATCATCTCACTAAAGACGCCACTGTGACAAGGGTTCCCTTGGGAATTACAGCCAGAATACCTCTCACCTGGGAGGGATATTATAGCTCGAACAGTGAAAAGAAAAAGCTTTATTTCACTATTGTCTTTTCCAATTATTGTGCCCCTTGAAAGATTAAGCAAATGGTTTATTTTTCCTTGGCTTCATTTCCAGAATCACCTTTACTGGACACAATTTAAATTCTAGTTATTTCCCCACCAAAAGCCAACAAAAATGAGTTCAAGAGAGTTCACAGCGATTTCAAAGAGAATTCACAGAGATTCTGCAGCCACGTGGAAAGAATATTATAGGAGATTCTACCATACTATGCAATCCTCATGTATAATAGGATAGTCAGAGGTCATGGGCACTATTCTCTAGGTCTATGCTTCTAAAAAACCACAACACAAAAGTAATGCTATAAAATTTGCATAAAGAAAAGAAAATTTTGTGATGGTTAATTTGATGTCAAATCAGCTAGGCCACAGGGGGCCCAGGCATTTAGTCAAGCATTATTCTGGGTGTTTCTGTGAGGGTGTGTTTGGATGAGATTGATATTTTAGTCAGTGGACTCTGAGCAAAGCAGACTGCCCTCCCTAATGCGGGTGACCTCATCCAATCAGTTAAAGGCCTAAATGGAACAGGAAACTGAGCTCCCTCAAGCAAAATAATTCTTCTGCTGATGGCCTTCAAACTGGAACATCAGTTCCTTCCTGGGTCCCCTGCTGACTTTGAACTTAAACTGCAACATTTGCTCTTCTCAAGGTCTCCAACCTCTTGGCCCACCCTGCAGATTCTGGATTTATCAGCCTCCGTAATCACGTTGGCCAATTCCTTAAAATAAATATCTTCTATATATAAATAAGGGCCGGGCGCGGTGGCTCACGCCTGTAATCCCAGCACTTTGGGAGGCCGAGGCGGGCGGATCACGAGGTCAGGAGATCGAGACCATCCCGGCTAAAACGGTGAAACCCCGTCTCTACTAAAAATACAAAAAAATTAGCCGGGCGTAGTGGCAGGCGCCTGTAGTCCCAGCTACTCGGGAGGCTGAGGCAGGAGAATGGCGTGAACCCGGGAGGCGGAGCTTGCAGTGAGCCGAGATCCCGCCACTGCACTCCAGCCTGGGCGACAGGGCGAGACTCCGTCTCAAAAAAAAAAAAAAAAAAAAAAAAAAATAAGTACCATTGGTTCTGTTTCTCCAGAGAACCCTAAGACATCTTCCATCCCCTAAATTTTGGAAATGGAAATAAAAATCAAAGATATATTATTCAGTTAGGATACAACGTAAGATTTTGTAGGTGTGTTAGTCTGCTCTTATGCTGCTAATAAAGACATATCAGAGACTGGGTAATTTATAAAGGCAAGAGGTTTAACTGACTCACTGTTCCACATGGCTAGGGAGGCCACACAATCATGGCAGAAGGTGGATGAGAAGCAGAATCATGTCCTACATGGCAGCAGGCAAGAGAGTGCGTGTGCAGGGGAACTCCCCTTTATAAAACCATCAGATTTCCTGAGACTTATTCATTATCATGAGAACAGCCCAGGAAAGACCCACCCCCATGATTCAATTACCTCCTGCCGGGCCCCTCCCATGACACGTGGGAATTATGGGAGATAAAATGCAAAATGAGATTTGGGTGGGGACAGAACCAAACCATATCAGTAGGTCTATGTGATTTGCTAAGGACAGTGTTATACACAATAAATACAGTATTTTTTTAAAAAAATGGAATCTATAATTGGATTCTAGACATTTTAATTTCTTTTACTTACTATGTAGGTTCACACAGTATATTTTCATTACATGGATGTTGAAATATTACTTTCCCACTGTGTGGCTGATGGATCACATACCATCCTCCTCTCCATGCAGGAATCAGGTAAGGGTATGTGAGAGGAAGGAGGTTAGGGTTGGGAAGTCTTTGTTTAACTTCCACCTCATTCTTGAGAAAAGATTTGAGAGAGGTCTGGCTGGAGTACCCCCACCCTGACGTCACAAAGAGGTTGTCTAGAGCCATTTGGCAGTGCAGGCAGGAGCTTCTGGCACTTGGTAGGATGAGGACCAATTGTTAATGTGCTTTCTTTGCTTAGTTTTTATCCCCACATTCTCTCCCACTGTCCTGCAAGGTTTCTGTCTCATGGACATGAAAATGTGTCAGTATAAACACCAGCATTCTCTATTCACACAAGGATTCCTTGTCACTGGGGATTTTTGCTGACTTCTATTAGTGTAAAAATCATTCTTCAACTTTCTCTAAAATTGCCAAACTTTGGCAAAATAATTAATTAAAACAGATTTAAGGTCACTTTTTAAACTACAGATGACATGGATGAGCTCCATTATTCTTTTACGTGACTTGGGCACATGAGGAATTCAAACATAAAACTTCACCAGCTTATAAAATCTGTGAGTCTCTGCCCCCGTGTTTTAAGATGTTTGTAAAATTTCAAAGTATTTTGTCTTACGATATCATAAAAGAAAGTGCAATTTTAGAGTCTAAAATTAATTTAATTACGAACACTTCAAATGTGTTCTCTTATTCTTTTTTAAAAATAAATGCTTTCTAGTGAAAAATCTATTTTTCTCTTTGACAGGTAATAAGGCAAAATTCTGGGAGGTTATTGGTAATTGCTCTCTTTTTTTATCTCATATCTCCTGTTCACATTGTCAACAAATCCTACTTATTCTACCTGCAAAATATGACCAGAGAGTGATTGCTTCTGCCTAACCTTTTTGCCACGATTCTCTTATTGTCAAGCATTGCTGGGACTCTGGCAATTTTCCCTTGCAGGCCTGCCTCTTTCTAGTGTTGCACGCCACCCCCACCCTCCAGTCACCTCTGTCTTTTCTCAGTTCAGCAACTGCTGCAGTTGCTAAAACAGAAATTAGATTCTCTGTTCAAATCCATGCAAAAGTACCCTGTACCATTCAAGGGTATTCCAAGGGCTGCAATACCCCAGGTAACCTGTCTCCCATTTCCTCTCTGTCCTACCTACCCTCCTTCTATAAACACCCCCACACCCAATTCATTCAACCCAGGCACACTGGCCTTTGTGCTGTTTCTGCAACATGCTAGTCACACTCCTGCCCTAAGACCTTTGCCTAGCTTCTCTCTCTGCCTGAAAAGCTCTTCCTCTAAATACATTTCACCAGCAACTTCCCTTCCTTTAAGCATTTCCTCGGATGCCACTTTCTCAGCAAGCCCTGTTTGAAGCATTTTGCCCCCACTGACTATTGCCAACCCCTATGCCATCACTCCCAACCCCCCTTCCCGGGGGTCTCATTTCTTTCACACATGCTACACATAACATTTGATCATACTATGTAATTTACATATTTATTAGGTTTGATGTAGTACCCTTCTTCCCACAACAGAAATCCCATAAAGGAAAACTTTTGTCTGTTATGTTCACTCAAATATCTAAGACACCTAGAATAATGACCAGAGTATAATAAGTAACCAATAAATATCTTTCAAATAAATCAAGTGATTTTTCCATTGCTTTAGAAAAAAAAAATCCTATTCTAGTGCTTCAGAGCCTTTGATAAATTCTACTTTATAATGCATGTGTTATTAGGTATAGATTATAGATAATGAGGATAAGTTCCACTTAAATTAAGAAATTGGCTTGCTTTCTATTTGAATATAGGTCATTGGTAGCCAGTTATATAAAAATAAGAAAAAAGAACTAATTGAGAACAGGCTGACTTCCCACCACACTCCCAGAGCAGATTCCAAGACCAAAGAAATAAAATAAAACTCTAAAGGAACTAGAAATTTATGATCTTTCTCACAAATAATTCAAAAAATTTTTAAGAAACCTCAGAACTCTTCAAAAAATACAGAGAAACAATTCACTGAGATCAGGAAACAATAAATGATCAATATTAGAAATTTAGCAGTGAGATTGACATTTTTTTTTAAAAGCAAATTCTGGAGCTAGAAAATACAATCGAGGAGCAGAAAAATGCAATAAAGGTCATCAACAGTAGACCTGATAAGGCAGAAGAAAGAATCTGTGAACTTAAAGAAGAAATTATATAATTAGAACAGAAAAAAAGAAAGAATGAGAAAATTTGAAGAAAGTATACATGGAATTATATGACCAATTCAAGAAAGCAAATCTTTGCATTACAGGAGTTTGAGGCAAAGAAGAGGAAGACTAAGAGGTAGAACACTTACTTAAAAAACTAATAGTATAAAACTTTCCAAATCTAGGGAAAGGTATAAATATACAGGTACAGAAAAGTCAAAATTTTCAATCAGATTCAATGCAAGCAAGACTACACCAAGACATGCTATAATCAAACTATCAAAAATCAAAGACAAAGAGAGGAGCCTGAAAACAGCAAGAGAAAATAAGTGAATCAAAAATAAAGGGGTTCCAATAAAGCTAGCAGCAGATTCCTCAGAAGAAACCTTACAAACCAGGAGGAGGTGGGATGATACATGCAGAATGCTGAAAGAAAAAACTGCCAATTCAACAAACCTGTCCTTCAGAAAAGGACATAACTTTAATTGTATACAAAATCTCTATACTTTTACTCTTGCCAACACTTATATTTTTAATGTCAAAATTTTACATTTTTAAATATTAGCTTATTATTAGGAGAAATAAAGGAAGAATAAAAATTGTCCCAGGAAAACATAAAGCTGAAGTAGTTCATCACCAGCAGACCCCTTTTACAAGAAACACTAAAGGGAGCTCTACAGGCTGAAAGAACATTAATAAACAACACGAAAATATATGAAAGTTAAAACTCAGTCTAAGTAAGTAAATGGTCAAATTAAGTATACTCTAATACTGTAATGGTAGTATGTAAATTGCTTATATCTTTAGTATGAAGGTTCAAAGACAAAACCATTAAAAATAATATTAGCTACAACAATTTGTTAAGAAATATGCAATATTAAAAGATCCAAATTGTGACATCAAAAATAGAAAACTGGCTGGGCATGGTGGCTCACACCTGTAATCCCAGCACTTTAGGAGGCCGAGGCAGGTGGATCCCCTGAGGTCAGGAGTTCGAGACCAGCCTGGCTAACATGGTGAAACCCTGTTTCTACTAAAAATACAAAAAATTAGCTGGGCATGGTGGCACGTGCCTGTAATCCCAGCTACTCGGGAAGCTGAGGCAGGAGAATCACTTGAACCCGAGAGGCAAAGGTTGCAGTGAGTCAAGATCGTGCCATTGCACTCCAGCTTGGGCAACAAGAGCAAAACTCCATCTCAAAAAAAAAAAAAAAAATATATACATATATATACATATATATATAAACTGTTGGGCGAAGTGAAAGTGTAGCCTTTGTATGCAATTAAAGTTATGTCATTAGTAGCTTAAAATAGCCTGTTATAAATATAAGCCACCTATGTAATCCTCATGGTAATCATAAAGCAAAAACCTATAGTAGACACACAAAGATAAAAAGTAAAGGATCAAAGCACACCACTAAACAAAATCACCTAATCACAAAGGAAGACAGCAAGAGAGGAAGAAAGAAACAAAGGATCTACAAAACAACCAGAAAGCCAGTAACAAAGTGACACTAATAAGTCCTTACCTATTTACAATTACCTTGAATGTAAATGGATTAAATTTTACAACAAAAAGACAAAGAGTGGATAAGTGGATTTAAAAAGAACACAACATGACCCAACTATGTGCTGCTTGTAAGACAGTCACTTCAGATTTAAGGACATGCATAGACTGAAAGGCCATAAGTCTTAACAAATCTAGGGAGATTGAAATCACATCAGGTATCTTTTCCAACCACAATGGTATGAAACTAGAAATCAATAACAGGAGAAATTTTGGAAGATTCACACATACATGGAAATTAAACATGTTCCTGAATGATCAATGGGTCAAAGAAGAAATTAATAGGTCATTTTTTACGTCTAAATTTTAAGTACTAAAATATCATTGAGACTAATGAAAACAGAGACAGTGTGCCAAAACTTATAGGATGTAGCAAAAGTAGTTCTAATAAAGAAGTTTTTAACAAAAAAACTTTTAAATTAAAAAAAAAAGATGATTTCAAATAACCTAAAGTTACACTTCAAGGAACAAGAAAAAGGAGAACAAACTAAGCCCATAATTGGTAGAAGGGAGGAAATAATAAAGGTCAGTACAAACACAAATAAAATAGAACTAGAAAAACAATAGAAAAGATCAACAAAACTAAAGTTGGGTTTTTTTTTTTCAAAAATAGAACCAACAAATCGTTAGCTAGACTAAGAAAAAAAGAAGACAAAATCAGAAATAAAAGGAGAAACATTACACCTGATACAACAGAAATACGAAGGATTATAAAAAGCTAATATGAACAGTTATACACCAACAAACTGGATAACATAAAAAAACAGATAAATATCTAGACACATACAACTTACCAAGACTGAATCATGAATATAACAATCTGAATAGATCAGAGATGAGTAACAAGATTGAGTCAATAGTAAAAAGACTCTAATCAAGGAAAAATCCAGGACCTGATGGCTTCATTGATAAATTCTATGAAATATTGAAGAACTAATCCTAATCTTCCCCAAATTATTTTAAAAAGTCTAAGAGGTGAAGCTTGCAACTCATTTAACAAGGTCAGCATTACCCTGATACCAAAGCCAGACAAGAACACTCTAAGAAAATTGCAGGCCCGTATCCTAGCAAACCAAATTCAACAGCGCACTACAAAGGCTATTCACCTTGATCAGTACGATTGGTCCCTAGAATGGAAGAATGGTTCAATACATGCAAATCAATACATGGGATGCACCACATTACCACAATGAAGGGGAAAACCACGTGCATCTCAATAGATGCAGAAAAGGCTTTTGAGAAAATTCAAAATTATTTCATGATAAAATTCTCAACAAATTAGGTATAGAAAGAATGTTGCTCAATACAATAAAGGGCATATGTGACAAACCCAAAGCTAACATTGTACACAATGATGAAAAATTGAAAGTTTTCCTCTAATATCAGGAAGAAAATAACTATGCCCACTCTTGTCCTTTCTGTTCTACTTCTCTGGAAGTCCTAACTGGAGAAATTAGGAAAAAGAAAGGAATTAAAAACATCCAAATTGGAAAAAAAAGAAGTTAAATTGTCACTGTTTGCAGGCTACATATCTTTTATGTAGAAAATTCTAAATACTCCACCATAAAACTATTAGAACTAATAGATAAATACAAAAAAATTACAGAATACAAAATCAACACATAAAAAGTAGTAGAATATTTATACTCTAACAATGAACTATCCAAAAAAGTTATCAAGAAAATAGTCTCATTTTTTACAGCTGCCAAAAAATAGTAAAATATCTAGGAATAAGTTTAACCAAGGAAGTGAAAAATCTGTACACTAAAAACTACGACATTGTTAAAAGAAATTTAAGAAAATACAAATTGAAAAATATTCTATGTTTATGGATTGGAATAATTAATGTTGTTAAGATGTCCATATTACCCAAAGTGATCTACAAATTCAATGCACTCCCTATCAAAATGGCATTTTTCAAAGAAATAGAAAAAAATTAGCATAAAATGTATATGAAACCCCATAAGACCCCCAAATAGCCAAAGCAATCTTGAGCAAAAGAACAAGTTGGAAGCATCACACTACTTGCCTCCAAAATATATACAAAGCTACAGTAACCAAAACAGATGGTACTGGCATAGAAACAGACACACAGACCAGTTGCACAGAATACAGAATAAAGAGCCCAGAAACAAATCCACACATTTACAGTCAATAGATTTTCAACAAAGGTGCCAGGAACACACATTGAGGAAAGAACAATCTTAAATAAATGGTTCTGGGAAAACAATATCCACATGCAGAAGAATGAAATTAGACCCTTATCTCACACCATATACAAAAATCAACTCAAAATGGATTAAACACTTAAACATAAGACTTGAAGTAAATACAGGGGAAAGGCTCCATAATATTGATCTTGGCAATGAATTTAGTATGTGACCCTAAAAGCACAGGCAACAAACGTAGACAACTAGGATTATATCAACTTAAAAAGCTTCTGCACAGCAATGAAGACAATCAGCAAAGAGAACCTATGGAATAAGAGAATATATTTTCAAGCCATATGTCTGATAAGGGATTAATATCTAAAAGATATAAGGAATGCAAACAGCTCAATAGCAAAGAAACAAATAGCCTAATTAAAAAATGGCCAAAGAACCTGAATAGACATTTCTCAAAATAGGACATTCAAAAGGCCAATCGATACATGAAAAAATGCTCAACATCATTAATCATCAGCAAAATGGAAATTAAAACCACAATGAGATGTCACCTCACACTTATCAGATGGCTGTTATCAAAAAGACAAAAGATAATAAGTATTGGTGAGGATGTGTATCAAAGAGAACCCTAGTACTCTATTGGTGGAAATTTACACTGGTACAGCCATTTTTGGAAACAGTATAGAGGTTCTTCAAAAAATCAAAAATAGAACTACCATATTATCCAGTAATTCCACTGTTGGATCTATATCCAAAGGCTGTGAATTAAATCAGCGTATCGAAGAGATATCTCCACCTCCATGTTCATTGCAGCATTATTCACAATAGACAAAAATTAGAATCAACCTAAGTGTCAACAGAAGAATAAAGAAAATTTACACAAGTAAATAATATTCAGCTTTATAAAAAAGGAAATTCTGTCATTTGAAACATGGCTAAGCTTGAAGGACATTATGTTAAGTAAAATAAGCCAGACACAAATGACAAACACTGCTTGATCTCATATGTGAAATCTAAAAGAATTAAATTCATAGAAGTAGTGAGTAGAATGGTGGTTTCCAGGGGTGGGGGCAGGGGTGGGGAGTTGGGGAGATGTTGGTCAAAGACGACAAAATTTCAGTCAGACAGAAAGAATAAGTTCAAGAAATCTATCCTACAACACGGTGACTGCAATTAATAACAACATATTGTATTCCTGAAAAGCCCTTAGAGTAAATTTGAAGTGTTCTGAGCATAAAAATAAGTATATTCAGTAATGCATAGGTTAATTAGCTCAATTTAGCCATTCCCCAATGTATACATATAAGAAAACATCCTGTTGTACACAATAAATATATATACATTTATTTGTCAATATACAAATAAATTGTTTAAAAAATAAAGTTAATTGGGATTGCTTTTCATAAAGATCAGCTTGCATACATTTGCCTTTGCAGAGTTTTGCATCACTAAATGGAAGCTGATTTCTAACTTGTATTTCCAGCTATGAGAACTGCTATGTTGGAATTGGTCAAAATAACGTGGATTTTGAAACCACTAAAATTATGAAATATGAAGTACTGGATTTCGAGTATAATCCAACAGACTCATCAAAGTCTAGCACATGGTAGGTTGCATAGTAAAGTGTTAAGAGTATGGATTTTGGCATTAGATCTGGGTTTCAAAATCTGCACATGTCATAACCTTTCTGTGTCTCGGTTTTCCTCATTTATAAAACGGGAATAATAACTCTGTGTCATTGGGCTGCTTAAATGTTTGGCACAGTGCCTCCTTCACAATGAGAGTTCAGGACATATCTCATTTTGTTGCCAGGAGGAATTACTATTGTCAATTGTATATGAAGGCAACAATGACCCACCATTACGAGCTGAGTAACCTTAAAGAGCTCACTGTATTTCAGTGAGCCTCAGTTTGATTATCTAAAAATGGGAATACGCCACACCTGCTCTGCAAGACTGCTGTGAGGACTAAACAAAGCAATGCGTATAAAAAACCACACAGTGGCTGGCCCATGGGCTTCCCTTTCTGCTGTAGATGGGTGTTTTAGAGACAACTTCCCTAGGATTGGAAGAAAGGTGGTAGAAACTGACTTCTGTATAAACCAGCAAGATTATAAAAACAGCTGCCTGGCATTGTTCAGGATTTATAAGCACATGTATTTCACATATACCTATGTAAACATGAATATATATACAGTATGTGTATATATATATAATATGTATATATGCACTATGTATATATATATATATAGTGTGTGTGTATATATATACCCATATATATATATATATATATATATATATAGATATATATATATGGGTGTATATATATATGGGTGTGTGTATATATATATATATATATATGGGTGTATATATATATATGGGTGTGTATATATATATATATATATATATATATATATATATATACCCATCACTGACAGATATATGAGAGAAAAAATATGGTACATATTATAAGAGAGTAATAAAACATTCTTACAATTCTCAAATAGAATTTTAGAATCCACAGAATTTCTCAATGCTAAGAAGGGAGATTAATTTAAACACAAGAGAATTTCTCATTATAGCAATGTAATACGCAGCTCATTCTTTATCATGTAAGAGAGCTGGAGCTATAAATAATGCCTTGTAGTATGAGTAATAATTCCTGAAAAAAATTAACTGGAATGAAGCAGGTTTTTAATACAGTATTCAATGAAATCATCTAAATTTACCTAAGCTAGAAACAGACTACTTTGAAATAAGTGTATGAATACTTGCAGACTATAAAAGATTGAAAAGATTACTACTATTTTATCTGTTTATGTGGTCATATACCACAATAGAGTAAAACACCATATGTCAAATATCTAGACAGCTATTGAGGAATCTAGCTCAACAATACAAGTGATCCTAGCCACAAGATTAAACAGTTCTGACACAAATAGTCCATCTCTTCACAGGTTTCTCTCTTGCTCTTTGAATACCTCAATCAGACATTCAGATTAAAGCAAACAAAAAAACCAAAACTCTACTACATATAGGATGATAGCAGCCAGAACCTTCCAATCTGTGCCAGCCTCTAGATGAAAGATCTCTGTTCTTATTTAAGAAGGCACTCACCAGCAACGCATGTGTCTCATTTACTATGTGGGACAAACTATGATCCAACGTGCCCATTAAGTTTCTGGGGAAAGTTTAAGAAATAATTAGGGAATTTAACTTTACTTTTCTCTTGCTCTTTTCCAAACCATATCTAAGACAGTTGGGTTAAAGAAGCAGAAATGCAATTAAATTTAGCAAATATTTTTTGAAAACTTCTCAGATGCATAGAAGGAAGTCATCCAAGTGTCTGTGCTGGAGGTGAAGATCTGAGCACCCTTCTTTTTTTCTTTTTCTTTTTCTTTTGGAGACAGTGTCTCACTCTGTCACCCAGGATGGAGTGTAGTGATGCGATCTCGGCTCACTGCAATCTTTGCCTCCTGGGTTCAAGTGATTCTCTTGCCTCAGCCTCCTGAGTAGCTGGGACTACAGACACCCACCACCACACCTGGCTAATTTTTGTATTTTTAGTAGAGACAGGGTTTCACCATGTTGGCTAGGATGGTCTCGATCTCCTGACCTCACGATCCACCTGCCTCGGTCTCCCAAAGTGCTGAGATTACAGGCGTCAGGCGTGAGCCACTGCGCCCGGCTGAGTACCCTTCTTTAGGAAGAAAACTTCAGCAGTACTGGGAGGGAGGAGGAGAAAAGGGAGATTGCAGGAAAAAAGTCTCAGGACAACACATGATTTGCTTCTTTTTGCCTTTTTCCTAAATATTTATGAAATAGTTTCTAAATATTTTGTTTTTTAAGTTTTCTGAAGAAAGCCCTTTAAATACATATATTTCATAAATACAGGATTTATGTCTTGTTTTATGAGTAACATAGACATTCTAGTAATAAACTGCTTATTTCTGTAGTCTATGTCTTTATGTCTTTCAACTGATTAAGACTCCTGCTTCTATTAATTTTTCCAGAAACCTTCCAGGAATAAATATCTGTTTTAAAAGAGAGATTAAGTGACCAGCAAGACCTCACTATTGAATGTCAACTTAACTATTTTCTTTCCAAATCTTACTTTTCTTTTTCTAATTCACAGCTTCATGGATGCAGACGGTACTCTTGACCTTGGAGATCTACATCATATTCTTCAGCATATTAAAGCTCCAGAAGGGAAGAGATGGCACCTTCAAGCTCAATCATTAATAAAGGGGCAATTTACAAAGCCAGTGCAGTACCCAGGGGCTAAGAGCAGCTCAAAACTGTCATCTTCCCTAGGCATGGAGGGTTAGTGGGCAGGAGTGGTTTCAGAGCAACCTGAATGGGAAGGAGCAGGTGAAACAAAATCAACTCTCTAACGATACTGCTCTTCTGCCCTATAGTCTCCTGCTGATGCCTCCCATTGTGGAACCTGGTAGGAAGCCCATGACCTGGGAGCCCATTGAGGCAGCCAGCCTCCTGGGGCTCAGAGCAGGGTGAAGACAGGGAAAGAGTGGGCTTGGAGAGGCAATATGGTAGGTATGCAGCACGAGGCTTCTCTTTTTAAAGAGAGCAAGCTCAAAGAGAATTTCATTGCAGAGATACTCCAAACAATATCTATTACTGCAAATATTACTTCATACAGCCTAAAGGTAGAATTAGTAGTCTCTTCTCAGCAGGGTTACCATATTTAGCTAATACAGGACACCATTTCAATCTAAATGTTAGTTACATAATGCATAATTTTTAGGATAAGTATGCTCCACACAATATTTGGAATATACTCACACTAAATATTATGTTTTGTTTATCAGGAATTCAAATTGAACTGGGCATCCTCTATTTTATGTGACAACCTCACCTCTTTGTATATTAAAATATATATTCTTCAAATACATATTTGAAGTATTGTTATTACTTCTGTCCCAAACACTAGAGGAAATGATGCGTTTCTACCCAGGTGTGTTATATTTAGTATTATTCCTGTGAGCTTTATATTTGTGCTCCCCTTTTCAATCTGTGTCTTGAGTCCTCCATTTTTAAAAATTATGCTCCCTACTTTTATTCATTGTGATATATAAAGACTGTCTCCACAGAGAATGTACTGATTTCACTGAGGTCATCCATGAGCTGCCTCTTTTCTCATGAGAATAAATTTTTAAAGGCATTAAGCTTCGTATTCTTTTATTTTTTGTTTTGAGATGGAGTTTTGCTCTTGTTGCCCAGGCTGAAGTGCAATGGCACGATCTCTGCTCACAGCAACCTCCGCCTCCCGGGTTCAAGCGATTCTCCTGTCTCAGCCTCCAGAGTAGCTGAGATTACAGGCATGCACCACCATGCCCAGCTAATTTTTGTATTTTTAGTAGAGACAGGGTTTCACCATGTTGGTCAGGCTGGTCCGGAACTCCCGACCTCAGGTGATCCACCCCCACCTTGGCCTCCCAAAGTGCTGGGATTATAGGCGTGAGCCACAGCGCCGGCTAATGGATTATTAATGTTCTTTCCGGCTGCAGTGATTTTCTAATTTTGCTTTTGAATTGTATATATCTTGAAGAACTTAGAAGGTTTCTCATTCTTTCATATATCTAAACCAGGGACTCTTAATCTGGGGCCTGCATACCCTCTATGCATAAAATTCAGGAAGCTCCCTGAAGCTGGGTATAGGAAAACATTTGTTCTATTTTTCACTAACCTCTAACTGAAATTTATCATGTTTTAAAATTATTAATATAGGCAACAAACCACAGTAGTATTAGTACTGTGACTTCATCATCAATAAAAATTACTAATATTTTCAAAATCACATTTCAGATATAGCTCTCTATACATTTTTATTGACACTAATAACTTCTTAAAATTTGCTATGGACACAAATCTAGTGTGTCATTTAATAAATTAATCAAGAAGAACATATCATACATCATGGATTTTATCTAATTTGATAACTGTATTAGTTTACTATTGCTGCTGTAACAAATCGCCACAAACTTGATGACATAAAAGAATACCAAGGTATTATCTATAGTTCTGTAGGCCATAAATCCAAAATGGGTCAAGCTGGGCTAAAAGCAAGGGGTTGGCAGGCCGTCTTCTTTCTACAGGCTCAAGGGGAGAATCTATTTTCTTATTTTTTCCAATGTCTAGAGGCTGCCCAAACCCCTCGGTTCATGGTCTCCTTCCATCTTCAAAGCCAGCAATGGCCCATCGAGTTTCCCATTGCATCACTCTGACACGGGTTCTCCCGTCTCTTCCTTCTACTTTTAAGGACTCTTGTCATGACATTGGACTCACCCAGATAATCCACAATAATTTTCTTATGTCAAGGACAGCTGAGTAGCAAACTTAATTCTATCTCCACCTTTAATTTCCCCTTGCCATAGGACATAACATATTCACAGGTCTGGCAACTAAGCCACAGGCATTTTTGGGGAGTCATAATTCTGCCTAACATATATATTAGTAATAATTTGCTAAATGATTTCCTTTATAATATTATGTATAATTTTTTTTATTTAACAAAACTATCCTGAGGAGAGTTCCATGGGCTCCATGAGTTTGCCAGAGAGCTCTACGGCACACAGCAGGTTAAGAACGTCTCATTTGCGACAGTGATGCTGACAATTAGAACCATAGCATTCCTTTAAGGAAATATCTGCTACAAAGTCACTTGCATATGTTCTCTTTACTTCCTACTTCCCAACGTTACGCATTAAGAATATCTATTATGCTACTTTTACAGAAGAAGAAACCAGGGTTTGGAGAGTGATCTGCCAAAGGCCACACTGCTGATGGGTTGCAGGGCTAAATTCAAAGAGCGCTCCACCGACCTTGGAGCTGAGGCTCCCATGCTTCAAGTCTTCTTCGAGCATTGCCCTGTATTCACTCACCGCCTGATATGCTTCGACCAAGAGGATATTAGTACCAGATGAGTATCAGCCTACACTGTTTATTCCCCCTCTTATGGATGCATCTGACCAGACTAGAAATGTTATCTTTGAAAAACAAACTCTAGCTACCTCTGTCCCCAGCTTTCCTGCATTATCAGAGAAAACTTTATTAACATGCACTTATAACAAGACTAGCACATGTTTCTCCCACCAACTGTTGTAGCTAGAATGAGCAAGTGAGCAGGTGGCAGTGCTATCAAGGAGCTGTCAGATGCCAACTTCACGCTGCACATCCGCTGATTTTCAGTGGGTTACCTTACCTCAGGTAGCTACAAGAACTCTCAAACAAAAATACACTGAAGATCTGGAACACAAATCTTTAAGTCATTAACATTCGTCTCTTTAATTTCAGGGCTTACCCAGGGTCCTATTTTCTCTGGATTTCTCAAGCCACAAAGATTAAGATCTAGCTCTGATTTTCATGTATTTGTTTGATTTGGTTTTGGTTTTAGTTTTGGCTGGATAGTATCTTCACTGTGCAACTTGGAACCGTATTTGACCTGGTAATTCAGGTCTGAATTGGCACTGATTTACAGCCACTGTGAATTGATGGTCATGGGTTATCATTGTAGTTGGTCATTTCTGCTAGTTCACTGACTAGTGGAACCTCTCTTCCAGGCTTTCATCAGAAAGATGCTATTGGATATTTCAAAAGAGCACCAGAGCTCCCCAACAGTGGCTCATAAACGTTTCTGGTAGAACAAATCCATGGGACACAATATCTCACCGTGACTCACTGTTCTATCTGGCCAGCTCTAGAAATGAACAGTCTGAGGCTTAGAACATTGAAGGAAAGGAAAGAGAAGAGAAGAGGAAAGAAGAGGGGAGGAGAAAAGAAGAGAAAAGAGGAAGAAAAGAGTGGGGCGAGGAGAGAGGAGGAAGAGGATTTGTTTATCACTCAATAACACCAAGTCTGTACCAGGGATGTTGGCCGACTCCTCAGCCAGGAGGGCATCAAGAATCAGGTCCCAGCAATGGTGATGGCCACGGGGCACACAGCTGTCCCTGCCTTCCCTGTTCTCCATGCCTTCTCTAAGTCTGAGTACTTCCTCCTGCCTCAGCCCTCCCTCGGGAGAACAGTCCACCTGTCACTGAGAACAGAATTCTCGATGTGGAATACTGTGGTTAGCGGGCATTACATTAAAATATACAGGATACAACAAGCTTTAACCTGTCAGCATGGCATGACACTCGTTTTAGAAAGCAAAATAAAAAAAGAAGAACAACAGAAAAACTACATAGGCGATGCGAAAGGCTCAAATAATGCGTGACACAAGATGTTAACAGCTGTTTAAGACCCGAGCTGTGCAACTTCTGGGGCCGCTATCCATCCTGTGTTCCAATGGAACCTGGACTCCCCCTTGAATGGTTCAATACAGAGGACCTGATTATGGATCTCTGGGGGTGAAACTGCAAGTGCATTTTATTTATTTTCTCAGTAACTATTTGCAGTTTTAAGACTATCCAGTGGAAACATGCATTACTTTATTATCAGAAAAAAATCTTTTTATTTGTATTTATTCCCTTATTTGTATAGTATACAGATAAGATATAGTAAGAGTTGACTGTCATACCAGCTCTCATGTCTGCCTCTGAGGCTGGAAATCAAGGGCTGTTTATATGGTTCTCTGGTGCTATGTTACTCAGAAGATTCAAAGGAAGACTGAGGCCACCACCAGGTGGAAGGTAAGAGCCTATCAATGACTTGGTTTTGTGGTACTGTGTCCCACCTCCTGGTTGCCCATTTTTCACAGGTAATTGGAAATAATGGGAAAGCCTTAAGACAACTTTGAGAATGAGTTAGAAAAATCAGTGGAAGTGGATTTAGCCTATCATCACTCACACAGTACAGAGACTCAAACCGTGACAGGCAGCTGGGTTCAAAAACTGCCAGAGATTCAGCACAGTTTGAAAATGACAATTTTTTTGTTGTTGCAGTTTTACAAAGGAAAACAGGATAGAGTTATTTCCATGTAGTTGAGTATTGTTACATGCTAAAAGATTTCTTCCAGTTATTTTTAGCCAGTTTATTTGCTGTTTGATAAGAATAGGAAAGTTTAGTGAAAGTCTTATGATTCACAGCATTCTGAGAAAAAAAAAAAGTCTGGTAAATTCTAAGAAGAAGTCTACTAGTCAGAGCTTTCTCAGTCCCTTTACAACAGCTGGTGGCTTGCTTAAACTGTCTTATGGAATTTCAGACATATCTCTAAAAGGTAAATACTATAATGAATGTCCTACACTTGATAAACATTTGGAGTGCCTTAATTTTCCCACCTGTTTACAGGGACTCTTACTAAGAGAACAGGCTGTTGCTAAGGTACAGGGTGGCTGTCAGAAACTTCTAGCTTCAAATATGCCAATTAAATTACTCTTTGGGGAAGCTCGGCTCATCACGTAAAATCACTCGAGGAGTTACTCTATGATTGTGATATGCAGTGCTTCTCATTTAAAATCCCACTACACTCCCCATATCCAGTCCCTCTGTGTGTGGTGATAACAACATTCTTGACTTTTAACACTTCGCCAACAACTCTATTAATCAAAGTGTGTGTCTACAGGAGACAAGCAAAGTAGCTGTATCTGACTCATTTTCATTCAAGAAAATGTTCAAAATGATGCAAAGAACCACACACACACAAAACAAGATATAAAGTCACTGCTGCAAAGTGAACCACGGATATGATACTCTTAAACTGACTTGTGCTTTTTTCCAGATTCTTAAAGATTTACTGAAGGAACTTTTTTACTAACGCACTTCATGCTTGCATTTCAAAAATGTGTAACGCATTTTATAAGCTACTCTGTTAATCTCAAAGATGAATGAGCATCGGCTAGGCTTAGCTATCAACTGATCTGAAGCCCATGCACGAGGGGACAGTAATGACACTCATCCCACCTGATTTTGAGATAAGCAATAAAGAGTGAATATTCTAGCAAATAAAATCTTCAATTTGAAAGGTTAGATGCCATTTCTCAGAATGTGCTACTGCCTGGGACGTCCATGATGAACATGAAAAATACCAGTGGGAGCCCCGGACTCACTGACTTCACGGAGGAAAAGTAAAACAAGCCAAGGTTGTTTTTACCACTTATTTGCTCCTTCTTGCTTCATTGGAAAAATCAAGTGGCTCAAACAAAATCGGCTTAATTCAGATATAAAGTGCTTAAATGGTATTTGATAACCAGTGACCCCAGATTCAGGAGAGTTAGCAGCCCTTTCACATTTCCAACACCACACTGTCGAGTTTGTATATATGGCCAAAGAAAATGTGGATCTGTGATGAGGACTATGTGTCAAGATTATTTAAAGCAAAGAGCGAGTAACAGTCGTTAGGCTGCAGTAAGAGAATTCAGGAATCACTAGGTATATCCAGGAAGAAGCGTTTTTAAAACTGTTACATTGGAAACATCAGATTGGTGGTTATAAAGGGAAAAAGATATATTTTATCTTATTGTGTTACCAAAATATCAACTTTAAATATAATACAAAAAATATTGGTCTAGTGGTAATCAAAAGAGGAAAAAAATATTTTGCCCTACTATTACTAAAACATAAATCACAAATACAAAGCATATTATCAGAGAAGTTACACTTTGATTGGAAAAAAACTTTCTATGTTAAAATAACAGCCACAACTTGGCCAGGCCCAGCGGCTCACGCCTGTAATCCCAGCACTGTGGGAGGCCGAGGCAGGCAGATCGCAAGGTGAGGAGTTAGAGACCAGCCTGACCAACATGGTGAAAACCCATCTCTACTAAAAATACAAAAATTAGCCAGGCATGGTGGCACACACCTGTAATCCCAGCTACTCGGGAAGCTGAGGCAGGAGAATTGCTTAAACCCTGGAGGCAGAGGTTGCAGTGAGCCGAGATCACGTCACTGTACTCCAGCCTGGGTGGCAGAGCTAGAATACATCTCAAAAATAATAATAATAAAAATAAATTTAAAAAAACAGCCGCAACTATTCAACACCAGTAGCAGATTTCAGAAAATAGTCCTATGCATCATTAAAGCATATAGCTCTTCTATTTGTCTTACGGGTAAAAAATACGGCATTTACAACTTTACATACACACTGCTGTATTTCTATAGCAGGCAAATCACGTACTCTAATGTCCATCTTACATTTGTGAATATAACTTGCATCTACAGCTGGATGTGGTGACTCACACCTGTAATCTCTGCACTTTAGGAGGCTGAGGTGGGCGGATCACTCGAGCTCAGGAGTTTGAGACCAGCCTGGGGAACATGGTGAAACCCCTCTCTACAAAAAACACAAAAGTTAGCTGGGCACGGTGTTGTGCACCTGTAGTCCCAGCTACTCGGGAGGCTGAGGCAGGAGGATCTCTTGAGCCTGGAAGGTGGAGGTTGCAGTGATCATGCCACTGCACTACAGCCTGGGTGACAGAGCACAGCAAGACTCTGTCTCAAAAAAATAAATGTATAAATAAAAATAACTTACATTCACAGGAGACTGTTGGAGCTGCCCTCTGGACAGCCTATCACAGAGCAGCTTTCTCTGTACCCCCTCGCCCCTCCACTCCTGCATACAGACCCTTTTCCTGAACTGCTCTCCTAGAGCACCAATCCCTGGACCTTTGTAACCAAAACCCACCGGTATTTGCTAAATGTACCTGTGGAAAAATGGGTACAGTTGAGTCACTTTTATTTTCCTAAGTGGAGCCACCCTACATGGAGAGAGTATGTTTAATCTGGTTGTAGAGAAGGGGATGGAGTATGGACGCAGTGTGGGTCCCAGCAGATTCCATTCTAGGAATTTCAACACTGATTTATTTAATTTCTGACTCACACTGTCAGGCAGGGAAGAAACCATGAACTGTGAGTATTTACCATTCTGAGTCACTTCTATTTGCGAAAGCAAATCACCATTGCTTTTGTAACTTTTAGAAAAGAAATAAATCAATAATGAAATTACTAAAATGGAATATGCTGACAGCCACACTGCACCCACACTTTAAATGGGAATCAATATGCTATTTATAAATCAAAAAGAGAAGGGAAAAGATCTCAAAAGTCTGTTTTTGGATTATTAGAATAACTCTATTATGTATTTCAAATGCAAATTGTAATGGTAAAAAGATCCCAAGCATAGGTTAATTGAAATCAAATTAAAAATGTTAACTAAACAGTTTGGCATTTAAATATGGAGACAAACAACATTTTAAAATTAGTATTGCTGTTGTTGTTATCATCATTATTATTATTTAAAGATAGAGTCTTGCCCTGTCGACCAGACTGGAATGCAGCGGTGCAGTCATCGCTCTCAGTAGCCTCAAACTCCTGGGCTCAAGGGAACCACCTACCTCAGCCTCTTGAGTCACTCAGACCACAGGTGCAAACCACCACACCCGGCAAATATATATATATATATATATATATATATATATATATATATATATATATATTTTTTTTTTTTTTTTTTTTTTTTTTTACTTTTTTATAGAGACAAGGTCTCTTTATGTTGCCCAGGCTGGTCTCAAACTTCTGGCCTCAAGTAATCCTCCTGCCTAGCCTCCCAAAGTGCTGGGATTACAGGCATGAGCCATTGTGTCCAGCCAGAAAAACAACATTTTGACAAAAGGAATGATGGCAAAATGCTACATTTCTAAGGTAAAATTTTGGTTATTAAAAATTTTAAATTTGGTAAAATGGCCTGAACATGGATGAGCTCCCTAATACCTAAAACACAAAGTTATTGTTGTTTCCTCTTTGTACAAAATTGCAACTTGTGCAGTTGGTTTTTTTCTCTAAAATTCTGCATATTTTTGGAAGTTGATGTCAGTCCGTGAGTGTCACTTGTTACACAAGCAAGGGAAGAACTTTCATCAGGCCCTCAGTTTCCAAGAGCACAGTCATTTGCAGCCATAAATTCCAAGAAAATAAAACAAAGTAGAATTCAAAAGGAGTTCAGGCAGTGAATCCTAATGCCCAAGATGTCAAACCTCTCTAATCTTTCCTACTCGTATATTGATTAGCAAAGGGTCTTTTTCCAAGACCCTTTTCTTTTACACTGGAGAAATAACGGCTAGATCCTTGCCAAGTGGCCAAAGGAGATTTGATTTTCTATTTTTCACTGGGAGGAGGTGAGGGGATGACAGCTCCCCATTGTTCCTCTCACTCAGAGCCTGGGGCCTGAGCCTGGTTTTCCAAAAGGCCTGTACAGTACTTTCACCCCACTGGCAAATGCCAATATGCAGTGGGTTCAGAATGATGAGGAAAACCAGACACAGACATGGACCCAGTCAATAAGCAGCATTTCACACACAGTGACCACTAGCTAGTAAAATTTCTATGAAAGAACTCATATGTAATCACATTAAAAAACAGGAACGAGGCCCAAGCACAATGCCATCCTACTCTGTGAAGTTATAAAAATTTTATACATGCATTCTGAAACCAAACAAAACTAGAACAGAAAGCAAACTTTATTACACATGCTTTGATCTTTCTCTAAAAGAATCTAGGCTGGGTGAGGTGGCTCATGGCTATAATCCCAGCATTTTGGGAGGCCGAGGCAGGCGGATCACGAGTTCAAGAGATGGAGATCATCCTGGCTAACACAGTGAAACCCCGTCTCTACTAAATATACAAAAAATTAGCCAGGCGTGGTGGCACACAACTGTAGTCCCAGCTACTCAGGAGGCTGAGGCAGGAGAATCACTTGAACCCAGGAGGCACAGGTTTGCAGTCAGCTGAGATCGCCCCACTGCACTCCAGCCTGGTGACAGAGCGAGACTCCATCTCATAAAAAAAGAATCTAAAATTGTCCCCCCCCAAAGCACTCTAAAATAAATAACAAAGAAAGCACTATAAAATCACTAATGAGTATAGCCAGGTCCAATATAGAAATAAACACTATATAGGCTAGGCTTCTAAAAAAAAGACTATGAAATTGAAGGGAAAATTTATTAATTCAACAGAGATAGCATTTTTATGAGGAATTTTCTAGTGGCATTTTAGATATGACTGGTTGTTACATTGTAATAAGTCCACCTTTTAGGAATTAATATACATCAATTTTTAAATAATAAGTTGCTCAAAATGTTAGTATTGTTGACCAAAATTAAGACTGTTGAGGTTTGATAATGGTTTGATAAACATTTGTTCGAAATCAAACGTGACGATTGACAAAGGTTTATTGAAAACTAAATGTGAAGATTGACTCAGGAAGTCAACAGAAGTTGGGTGTGTTCCAGAGTCAGCTAGGAGTTGGAAGGCCTCTATAAGAAAGTTTAGAAGGAAGAGAACTCCTCACACCAGAGCTGTCCTTTTTCATTGGAGGGTACATTACAGAAGTTACAATCATTGGCTACAGATGGCAACATACAGGTTAAAGTGTCCATGTGCAAGACCATCAGCCAGACTTTCTTCCCATTCTGAAACAAATCAGGATCCTTTTCAGTGTCTGTAAGTTACATAGTAAACAGTATGCCAACAATTGGAGAACTCCTGATAAGACCCTACCCAGGGACCGCATGTTGCCATGAATCACAAGACTTCTGCCAGATGGGTTAATTTGGAAGCCTGCCAGATCTGACCCATAGGTTATCAGTATTGTGCTTATTTACGTATTAGAATAAAAGCAAGAAATTTATGTTTGAGAAAATCATGTCATGTTTCTTTTATAGTTTAAAAATTCTACAAAATTCCTGACCTTTAAAAAATGTATCAGACTTGTTTTTGCACTGTTCACATATGTGTTAATAATAAAGGTTGGATTTATTTGGGAGAATAATAAAATTATATTCATTTGTTTAATTCTCTTCATGGTATGTTGCTTTATAGTTCATAAAATGCTTTCACATTTTCTCAGTTACTTTTGAGAAAAGAGGAAAGCAGAACAGATATGATACTATCCTTATTTTATAGATAAAGAAATAGGAATTTTGCCACAGCCCTCAAGTTAACAGGGCTGATAAAAAGTGACATTAAAAATATATTCACATATAGATAAAATTTTAAATACAAGAAATTCAGCTTAATGTAAGTTATTACATTAATTTCTTGATTAGAGTATCCATGTCACAGCTCTTATTGAAAACAAATGTCATAAATTTAGCATATGTTACTTAATAACAAAAATATTCAAAATGAATGTGATTGTGGTTAACTTTATCATTTCTCCAAAGAAAAGGTTTCCTTGACTACAAACATGGAAAAGATGAAACTAGAATCACTAATGTTGTTTTCAGTTCTAATATTCATGAGTCTACAAATTTTATAATTCTTTATAGAGTAAAGTTACAACCCTGCACTTCCAGTAAAACACTCTCTTTGCACCTCTGCCTATACATAAGTCACTCTTTCACCAACCTACAAAAAGTATTCTCGGCCGGGCGCGGTGGCTCACGCCTGTAATCCCAGCACTTTGGGAGGCCGAGGCGGGTGGATCATGAGGTCAGGAGATCGAGACCATTCTGGCTAACCCAGTGAAACCCCGTCTCTATTAAAAATACAAAAAATTAGCCGGGCGTGGTGGCAGGCGCCTGTAGTCCCAGCTACTAGGGAGGCTGAGGCAGGAGAATGGCGCGAATCCGGGAGCTGGAGCTTGCAGTGAGCCGAGATCGCGCCACTGCACTCCAGCCTGGGCGACAGAGTGAGACTCTGTCTCAAAAAAAAAAAAAAAAAAAAGTATTCTATTTGAGGTCTTGCTTTTGGGGGAAACACTTGCATGCAAAAAGCTTTCTCCAATGAGAAAGGCAAGGGAGATAGGTTACACTGTTTTGCAAGAAGAGAGTGTGTGTGTTTGCAGGAGGAAATTAACGTAGCAGTGATCTTTCCCTTCCAATTATGCATGATTCAGCGATTACACATAAGAAGAAATTCCCTTGCCCATCTTATCCTGAGTGAACCTTGTTCTTTCTTACAAAACTGAGTCTATTTTCTTTCATATCTGTTATTCCACAAACACTGACTTCACACCTACTCTGGGAAGTCACCCCACTGCACACTGGGGATACAACAGCAAGGACAGAGGTAGGTTTACTCTCCTACTAAATCTTATCTCTATTACTTCACGTCATTGGAAATTATGGGTATCTTGTGATGTTCTGGACTCTAAAATGTCAGAGACATGTGAATGAAGGAGCGAAACGTGGTGATCCTCAAAGCCTGTAGGAGAAGTGGGAGAGGAGAGAGTGGGAGGCTGTCTTCACGTTTGCGGCATTGTTCTGTCTCCATCTATTGCCAAGGGCCAGTAGAGGTCAGAATATTCTTAGCAGATTATTGACTTCTGATTATTTGATTAATCAATGATAGAAACTGTTGTCCATTTGTCGATTTGTACCGTTGCTCAGTGAAGTTATCATAGTAAAGTTATAGTACTGTATAGTTATGCGCCATAAGAGTAACAGTGCTCTGACCTCCCTCGTTCACACCTGGGCAAGGCCTCCCCCGAGACCCATTAACGGCACAACTGCGTCCCTAGTGGCCATTCCCAGAACTGCAGGGGAGGGAAGGGACCATAGAAAATTCTCAGCTTCGACGCTTGCCCATTTCCTCCACTAATTTTTATTTTTATTTATTTATTTATTTTTTGAGACAGAGTTTCACTCTTGTTGCCCAGGCTGGAGTGCAATGGTGCAATCTCTGCTCACCGCAACCTCCGCCTCCCGTATTCAAGCGATTCTCCTACCTCAGCCTCCCGTGTAGCTGGTATTACAGGCACGTGCCACCACGCCCTGCTAATTTGTTGTATTTTTAGTAGAGACGGTGTTTCTCCATGTTGGTCAGGCTGGTCTTGAACTCCCGACCTCGGGTAATCCGCCCGCCTTGGCCTCCCAAAGTGCTGGGATTCTTACATCGACTGCATAGAAAGAGGAGAGAACATAACCTACCTACCCCGTACATACTTCAGCCCAGGTCCTGTGCCTCATCTGTAATATGAATGAAGAGACATGGAGAACAGAAAAGAAAAAAAGAAAGGAAAATCTATCTTGGGAACAACAACAACAAAATCTAAGAACACAACTATGCATATATGTCTTAGTCTGTTTGGTGCTGCTGTAAGGGAATACATGAGGCTGGATAATTTACAAAGAAAAGATTGATTTGGCTTATGGTTCTGTAGGTTGTACAAGAAGCATGGCACCAACATCTGCTTCTGGTGAGTGCCTCAGGGAGCTTCAAATCATGGTGGAAGGTGAAAAGGGAGCAGGTGGGTCACCCAACCAGAGAAGGAGCAAGAGTGATGGCAGGAAGTGTCAGGCTCTCTTAAATAGCCAGCTCTTGCATAAACTAGTAGAAAAAGAACTCGCTCATTATCACAGGGACGGCACCAAGCTATACATGAGGAATCTTTCCCCATGACCCAAACACCTTCCACTATGCCCCACCTTCAACATTAGGGGCCAAATTTCAATATGAGATTTGTAGGGACAAATATCCAAACTATGTCAACATGGTGTTGAATGAATGGACAGAATAAAAGCAAAATAACATATTAGAGAGAGAATTTAAAAATAAAAAAACTGTATGTAACAACAACAACAACAACAAAAACAAGTGAAGTCAAAAATAGTCAAAATACCCTCCAGGCACCAGATCACAGATTGGGACAGAAAACAGAAAGGCACTTCATTAATTTTCAAGGCTTTGCACTCAAAACTGCTACATAAGCAATGCAGTGACAGATTGCATACAGAATTCATAAGGAACCTCCAAGGCCATTTGTGTGATCAGGACAGACAACCTGGGCATGAACTTGAAGGCACACATTTTTCGTCAAAAATGTGCCAAAATGAAAGCAACCTCCCAAAACAATTTAAGAGAAACAGTGGCAAGTGCAAAGAAAACTGGACAGGTATGGTGAACCCTACTCCTTATTCCCAAAGAAGTATAGGAAAGCTGTTGCAGAGCCCTGCATGCTCAATTTACAATTCCTGGATCAACGTTTTTCCACCCTGTTTTCACTGAGCCAGGGAGCCATCCAATGCTTCATCATCCCAGGGAAAATGAACAAGGCCATCTTATTAATTGGACTACATCACCCTTTTTCCTCTTAAAACAGGGCTCACTGTTAGAAACTCACACTGGATTAGCGAGAAAATGCTCCAGGCTTCAACTTAGCACATCAGAAAGTCAGAGCTTAACTCCTAATTTAAAATAAACCCTGTATTTTTGGTTGTTTTCCTTTTTGACATTGCATAAAATGGATTATGCAATAAATAGCAGACAGACTATTCACGTTGCACCAGTGCATATTCTAATGTTCTGCAGCAACATCTAATGGTGTAAATAAGATGAAAAAACTAACGATCCTTTATGAAAGATTTTTTTTCTTTATGGGGCATAATAGCATGCACAAATGGACCCTGCAGAACAATTTGCTTTCATTCCTTATTTTCGCTCTTATACTAGTAAATGTGGGATAAATGTATAATGTCTGTTAAACATTCATAATTATTAAACCATCAACGGAGCTTATCAAATCCCACATATTCCTCTCCAATGAGCTCTTTAAAGGGAACAACTTTGATTTAGAGTATAAAGATGTGGAATGGGTCAGCTGATCATTCTGGCCCCAAACTGCGGCAAGGGTGTTGTCTTGGAAGGAAAAGGAAAAGCTAAACTAATGCAGCCTATAGCTTGTGACGAAAGGACATTTTTCAAATTTTCAGAAGCGAAGTTAAGAAAAGATTACTTAGAAACTGGCACTGCTTAAAAATATTGGTACATCAGTAAAGGCTACTTCTTATTTCAGAATATTAGTAGGGTAATTCCTACTATAATCTGAAAACTAAAGAAGTATACATTTACAAGTGTTGACGTTCCAGATTTTCAAAAAGACTGCGAATTCATTTAAGAAAAAATAAAAATAACTTTTGCACACTGCTCCTTTTCCTTGAAAAAGAGTTTTTGCCTAAAGCTATAGACTACATTAACTTATTGTTTTGAAAAAAATATATAAACGAAGGAACAGTTATACGAATAGTACAGTAACTGTAGCATACCTTCCACTTCCACTCACCACTTGATAACAAGTTGCCTCATTTTCTCCACTGCTTTCCCTTTCTCTCATTCTAATGAAAACACTTATTGTTACTGCTGAACAATTGGAGAGTAAACTGCATACATGATGTCTCTTTCTCCCCAAAGGTTTCAACATTATCTTCTGAGAACAAGGACAGTCTTTTATACAACCACGGAACGGTGATCAATTTCAGAAAAAAATTAAAATTTAACTGTGATGGTCTTTGATTTTAAGAACTTAGAGGAGTGTTGTAAAACTCCAATTGAAGGTAAAAATACTCTTAAAAATTGCAGTCTTTTCTGACTCCTCACTCAAAACAAAGTAAAAGCCTCATGAGGGCAAAGATTCAACTTTATTCCCGGGTGCACAAGCCCTCCCAGGAGAGCTTCACACTCAGCGCACTCGTAGGCAATGTTAACTGATTTCAAAAATTATTCTTCAAACAATATTTAATTATTATGAAGTATCTCATGTGTCTAGTATAATACATGAAATCATTCTTGACTATGTTTAACGTCAAGAAGGTTGTTATGACCCACATTCTTGGGAACATGATATACTTTTTAAAGGACTCTACAAAACTTTCTTTTTTTTTCATAGATAACCCTCAAAGATTCACCTAACTCTTGACTAATTTTGAAATATGTTCTGCATGTGTGCCACTAATTTGGATTTTAACATCCAGTGGTAGCGTCTAATGATAAGGTAGTTCACATTTCAGACTGATTAAAGGATCATTTAATAATTTTATTCTTTTATCTCCCCCACCATACACACACACACACACAAATCTTTCAAAAGAAAACCAAGCACTCTCTCCAAACTGACCTCTATTAAAATTAATTTTTTTAATAACTGCTTGGTTTTATCACTACTTCCCCAAATGCTAATTAATTCTAACTCTAAACTATGTAATTATAATACTTCTGCTGAAATACAAATTATCTGGTGCCCCTGGGGTGAACAAGTAAGAATGTATTTCATGTTCCATTCAACAGAGGAAATGCGATGTTTCTCAGACCATGGAAACAATGTAGCAGCCTCCCTGGCTCCCCTCCCCCAAAACACTGGCAGTTCCTGTTTCTTCCTCTTTAGCAGGAAGACAGGAACAGAGTTGACAGTTGGCATCCAGTCAGTTTAATGCCTCTCTCCATGGGGCTGTGAGGAACGGTGGCATGCCCAGTTATTTTTGGCCAGGCACGGCAACACACAGAGCCTTGAGGAGCCTTCATTTAGGCAGTGGCGGCCAATGTACCTGCAGAATGTGAATTGACGTTGCCATGGAAATAGAACAACTCTTCCCGGTTCTGTCAAAATGCATCTCTATCTGCGACTAGGCAGAGGTCAGGAAGGAGAGAAACACAAGTGCCAGGGAGAACATTCGAGAAGGGAAGGACTCTGCAGTGCCCCAGTGTGGGAGAAATTTGATGGGCTTTTTCTGATAACATTCATATACACTATTGTGTTTCAAATCTGGATCTTGTTTATTCATTAGACAGTAGCAAATCCGGATACACACACATGCGCACACACACACCATATATATATATATATATACACACACACACATATACCTTATATATTTATATATACATATTCACCTTACTCTCTGTAAATATACATATATTATATATATACATATATATACACCATATATATACCTTACATACTAACATATGTATATATATATATACCTTATATACTCTGTGTATATATATACATATGTTACATATATATGCACTCACATATATACCCCCACACATACCTTATGTGTATATATATATACCTTATATATTTACATATAAATACAAATGTACCTATTCACCTCATATACGCTCTCTCTGCATATACATATATATGCACACATATATATGCATCCACACACACACCTTATGTGTGTATATATATACCTTATATATTTATATTTGTGTATTTATATATTTATATATAAATGCAAATGTACATATTCACCTTATATACTCTCTCTGTATATACATATATATATACACACACACATATACCCACATACACACATCTATACACACACACAAGCAACACACACACACACACACACACACACACACACAGACACGCATATTTTCTTCTGGGACCCAAAGCCAGCCTTTGCAGCCTACCATATAACATTGTTAGGGTCTCATTTTTCTCAGTTTTCACACAAGGTTGACTCAGGTAATCTCTAAGCCCTCCTTTTCTAATATGTCTATGATGCCATTTAACATTCTGTTTTCAGTCTTAATGTGCATTTAGCCCATTCTACCTGGAACTTCAACAAAACCATGAAAACAGGACAGTGCATGTCATAAGAACACATAAATAGGAGCTGTGTAAAAAACCAAAGTGCTTCCTCTCTGATCCCCTCTTTGGAATGTAGTTCTGGGGTGCTGCTGTGGGCACTGAGACCTGCAGCTGTCCCTAGGCTTAACTCTTGAGGTGGCAGGAGGAAAGTGACAGTGCTGTGTCCCTGGCAGACTCTCATTACTGGAAATTTGTTGCTGCTGCCTGTTCCTGAGTTCAGCCTGGGTCCAGCCCAGTGCTCTCATTTTTCATCACCTGTTTGGCCCTGCACATGGCTCTGAGTATGAGCTTTAGCCCAAATGCCAACCTCTGGGTCCCATGCTTTTCTGGCCTCTGCAGACTCTTGGTTCACAGAGACATGGGTGCTTCATGCAGAGGGTGGGCACACCTTGGGTCCAGGGACACAGGGGACCAAGGAGGGCACATAGAACCTCCATGATGGGTATTAGTGAACCTCGATACTGAGTATTCCTAAACACAGAGTGAATAGCCGATATTCCAATTCAATAGGAATCTGTGTGTGCATTCCAATGGACCCTTGAGTTCTGACCATTTGCAAGAGACCCTGAAGGCCTGAGATGCGTCCTGTCTTGCTGGGTGAGGCACAAGCCCAGTCATCTGCTGACATGTGGCAGCCAGTCTGTCAAAGAGCCTCGCAGACCATCTGCACATATTTTCAATGCAGTTTGCCCATATATATATATAATATATATATAATATATTATATATATTATGTAATATATATTATATATATTATATATATTATATAAATTATATATATTATATATTATATATAATATATATAATATATATTTTATATATATATTATATATTATATATATAATATATATAATATATATTTTATATATATATATGTACACACACATATACACACACACATATATACATACACACACATATACACACACACATATATACATACACACACATATATATACATACACACACATATATACATGTATATATGTGTATATATATGTGTATGTGTGTGTATGTATATATATGTATATATATATACACACACACCACCTAAAACCTTAAAATTTTACTTCATTGAGTTATAGGAAGAACATCCATCCATCATGATACAACTGTGCATGGCTTAACAGTGGGATATGTTCTGATAAGTATGTCATTAGGCAATTTCATTATCATGCAAACACCACAGAGTGTGCTTAATGCAAACCTAGATGGCATAACCTACTACACACCTAGGCTTTACTGTGTAGCCTATTGCTCCTAAGCTACTAACCCATACAGCATGTTACTGCATAAATATTGTAGGTAATTGGAACATAATGTTAAGTACTTCATTTCTAAATATACCAAGCATAAAAGTGGTACAATAAAATGCGGTATTATAATCTTATGGGACTACTGTCATACATGTAGTCCGATGTTGACTGAAATGTCACTATGTGGTACATAACTGTATTTATGAATCTGGTAATTCAAGAAAATGTCCAGATAGCCCTTTATTTTACTCTTCCTAGGCATGTGTAAATATATGACGGTGAGTGTTATGTGTGAGCTTGGCTAGGCTGTAATAATACCCAGTTATTTCATCAAACACGAATCTGGGTATTGCTGTGAAGGTGTTTTGTAGATATGGTTAACATCTACAATCCAGTCAATTGAGAACCTTATGAAAAAAAGTCTCAGTGCTATGGTCTGAATTATTGTATCTGCCCAAAATTTGTGTTGAAATTCTTACCCACAAGGTAATGGTATTAGGAGGTGGGGATTTGAGAGCCCTCATGAACGGTATTGTGCACTCTTAAAAGACACCTGAGAGAGACCCCTTGCCCCTTTGGCCATCTGAGGATAAAGCAAGAAGGCGCTGTCTATGAACCAGGGAGTGGGTCCTCAACAGATACTGGATGTGCTGGTGCCTTATTCTTGGATTTTTCAGCCTCCAGTAGTGTGAGGAAGAAATTTCTATTGTTTACAAGCCACCCAGTTTATGGTATTTTTGCTGTGACAGCCCAAATAGACTAAGACACCCAGAGGAGAAATTGTGACTCAAGACCATAACATAAAAATAGAAATCATTCTTGAGCTTCCAGCCTCTTGCTTTGCCCTACAGATTACAGACATGCCAGCTCGACAATTGTGTGGGCCAATTTCTTTAAGTCTCTGTCTCTCTCACTCTCTCTCTCTCTCTGTGTGTGTGTATGCGTGTGTGTGTGTGTCCATACACATATAAAATACCCTGTTGATTATTGGTTCTAGGTAACTTGAATCACTAGGGTAGTTTAAATCAAATCATAAAACACATGACCTTCCTTCTTATAACATTCTAGACTCTAAAATTTGTTGCCCCTGACTCTTAATATAAGCACATATTTATATTATTTCAGATCTTGCATCTATTAGAAGGCATTTAACAACTCTAAATGAATATGTTTCCTTAATGACATAATTCATTTGCCCTAAATTATATGTGAAGTAGATTAGCTTGCAATAGTGGAATAAATTGCTCCTAGAATAAATTCTAGGAGCCATAAAACTACAAACTTCCAGTTGAATTTTGGTGGTATACTTACTTGCTCTCATTCTAGAGGCACACAGGTCAGTAGTTATACCTTACTTTAAATACCATCTTTCTTCAAGAGAAAATAATTCTCTGCAATAATTATAGCAAGTCAGTTAAGAGGAGCAGGATTCAATGCAATGCTATTATCTTCCAGAAAATATGCTTTTCATGAAAGTATTTCAAAATCAAAGATTGCTGTCAACAATTTAAATGCATTAAATATTTTTATATTTTATAGATTCTTGAGGAGGAAATAAAACACAAACACTAACGTGAGAATGGATGAAAAGTTATGTAGTGTGTGGCCGGGCACGGTGGCTCACACCTGTAATCCCAGCACTTTGGGAGGCCGAGGCGGGCAGATCACGAGATCAGGAGTTCGAGACCAGCCTGGCCAACATGGTGAAACCCCATCTCTATTAAAAATAAAAAAATTAGCCGGGCATGGTGGTGTGTGCCTGTAGTCCCAGCTACTCAGGAGGCTGAGGCAGGAGAATCGCTTGAACCTGGAAGGTGGAGGTTGCAGTGAGCCGAGATTGTGCCACTGCACTCCAGCCTGGGTGACAGAACAAGACTCTCTCTCTCTAAAAATAAATAAATAAATAGAAAATATATGTAGTGTGATGTAGTGTGTATATAAGGAATTGCAAATCATTGTATTTGAGTTAGCACATGAGAATTGAGCTTAAATGGCCTTTGCTTGTTTGCTTAAAAATATCACATGTACCCTGTAAGTATGTACAAATATTATGTATTGCTAAAAATTTAAAAATACTTTCATAGATTCTAATAAAATAAAATTTCAAACAACTTAAAAGCACTCTTTCTGTGTTTTACAATAATTCAAGAATCCCTACTGTATGTAGAACAGTGTTTCTCAACCGGGGTCATTTTTGACCTTCTGATGACATTTGGTAATGCCTGGAGACATTCTTTGTTGTCACAACTGGGAGTGAGAGGGTGGGTGGTACTGACATCTAGTGGGTGGAGGCCAGGGATAATGCTAAACATCTTAAAATACACAGGACATTTCCTTTGGATGTACACTCAGGAGTGAAAGTACTGGATCATATGGTAGGTCCACTTTTAGTTTTTTGAGAAACCGCTATACTTTTTTCCGTAATGGCTTTACTAATTTTTATTCCCACCCACAGTGTGTAAGGGTTTCCTTTCTCCACATCCTCAGCAACCCTTGTTATCTTATTATGTCTTTTGGATAATAGCCATTCTAACTGAAGTGAGGTGATACCTCATTGTGGTTTGGATTTGCATTTATCTGATGATTAGTGATGCTGAGAATGTTTTCATATACCTGTTGTCCATTTGTATATCTTCTTTTTAATTTTTTTTGCTGTCTTTTTGCTGTTGACCTGTTTGAGTTCCTTATGTATTCTGAATATTAACCCCTCAAATACCACGTTTTCACTCATATGTGAAATCTAAAGTCAATCTTATAAAAATAGTGAATAGAATGGGGTAAGGAGTAGGAATAGGGAGATGGGGAGTGGAGGGTCAATGGGTACAAAGTTAACGATGAGAAAGGAGAAGTGCTGGCGTTCTGTTGCACAGTCTGGCAACTACAGTCAACAACAAGGTACGCACATCTCAAAATAGCTGTCATAGAGGATTTTGTATGTTCCCCAGAAAGAAATGATAAATGTCTGAGGTGATGGATATGCTAATTATCCTGATTTGATCATTAAACAACGTATACACGTTTCAAAACATTACGTTGTGCCCCATAAATAGGTACAATAATTGTGTGTCAATTAAACTTTTTAAAAAATATATTTAAAAATGCATAGGACAGTTCGCCACTCCCTCCCCGAGAAAAAGAATTATTTTGCCCAAAATGTCAATGGGTTGAGGTTGAGAAACTCTGCTATAGAACAAAGCTAGGCATAAGGTATGTGTTTCCCATTGGCATGTGCCGTATTAAGGAGTGAGATAGAAATCTTTATTAAAGTAAGGCCAATATAAGCAGTTAGTAGACAGAAACCCAGTACAAACTCAGAGTAAATGGTGTTGTTCTCCTTAGGAGAAGAGCTAAGCAAACAAAGCCCATTTCAGCTCAGTTACCATGTGCTGACACAAATCCACAACAAGGGATAATAGCAAAGCAATTCGTTCCACTTGATTATAGTTCATTTTGCTCAACAGGAAAGTCAGATTTGATGTTCATGATCATCAGGCATAAATCCTACAAAATGTATTTAATAAGAATGCAATGTATTTTTAACTGCCTTCATTAATTTGATTGTCCCCCCTTTAAAACAATAAATAATGACTAAATCTAGGTCACGTTTTCTCTTTGGGCCTTGGCTCCTCAGTTTCAAAAGTGGAGAGTTCTACTCTGTGAGTCCTTTAGTTCATGAATCCTTGCTGATGCAGGATACATATTTTTTTCCTTGAAAGGGAAACAGAATTGATCAGCTGATAGGTGTGATCGTCATGAGCAAAACAAACTTCGCTTTAAGAAGTTATCAAATCTCTGTATCTAAAGAGAATTTTCGTCAAGAGTTTTCGAGATTCAGATGCCAAATCTTCCTGTTTCCATTCGCAACTCCATCAACTCTATCTTGCCACCTTGCTGCCCAGAGTTGAAAGCAGCCTGGTACTCAGGGCAGGGAAGGCAGAAGCACATGTAATTGTCACATGCGGTAGGAATCAATAATCGACAACATAATGACATTCAATGAACAATTTACACTGAAGGTAAATAAATTGTTGATTTCATGTTTCGCTTACACATAGTGCAAAGAGCTCTTCACCACGGCTCTGGTGATGAAGGCTTTGTATTTATTAATTTTGTTGACCTTGGAGAAATAACTTTACTCCTCTATTGGAGTTTCCTATTGAGTAATGCTGGCAGACACCTAGACACTTCATAATTTTAAAAAATGCATACTTTCTAATTAATGAAGGAATAGTGATACAGAAGCGGGCAGGGAAGTGTTGGGTAGAGGAGGTTGTGGTCCCTGACTAGGGCTCTACTCCCAGGCCTGTGCCCACGGACCTAGGTGAAGGCAGACATTTCTGTTTTTGTGCCCAAATATTGCAATTCCCAAGACCACCCTGGCCTGCCATGCCCCCATCCTGTGCCTATAAAAACCCCGAGACTCTAGCGGGCACGCACACAAGCAGCTGGATGTTGAGAGGAACACATCAGTGGAAAAAGACACAAGTGGCTGGACTTCGGGAGGAATGCACCGGCCTAAGAGCACACCGACAGAAGCCAGCAGGCCAGCAGGCCATTGACCGGTGAATGCCGCAGAGTTTCGGGGAGGCAGAGGGAGGAGAGCCCTGGTGGCTGAGCGGCCCAACTCCAGGGGAAAACCACCTTACCACTCCATCTCCCTTCTGGCTCCCCCATCTGCTGAGAGCTTCTTCCACTCAACAAAACCTTGCACTCATTCTCCAAGCCCAGGTGTGATCTGATTCTTCTGGTACAGCAAAGCAAGAAATCCTGGGATACAGAAAAGCCCTCTGTCTTTGTGATAAGGCAGGAGTCTAATTGATCTGATACGCACAAGCCACCTGCACATGCTAAACCAATAGAGCACACAGTAACACACAAACACACACACACACACACACTGGGGCCTCAGGAGCTGTAAACATTCACCTCTAGACGCTGCCATGGGGTCGGAGTCACCACAGCCTGCCTGTCTGTATGCCCTCTCCTGAAAGTTTGAGCAGTGAGGCACCGAAAACACGAGCCACACCCCCATCACACACCCTGAGAGGGGGACAAAGGGACTTTTCCCATTTCAACAGTATCTTAAGAACTTGAGTGAATGTGTGAGCTTGATTTGATGAAAGAAATTCGGCTTATAACAAAAAATGCCAGTAGCTACCATTTAAACAATCTTAGTGGCAGTTGGGTCCTTAAGAAAATTTATTTATTTATTTATTTTAAACAACCAGATCTCATGAGAGCTAAGAAAATTTAGATCATGAGCAACTTAAAGTTAGAATTTTCATGAACAAATTTTTCAAAATTTTAATCTGTCATTTTCCAATCTAATAGCACATAAAAATCTAAAATTTGGAAAATTAACAGATTTTCCGAAACCTTTATTTTTCGTTAATGAGAGAACACCACAGGATAATTCTCTTTTTTTTCCTTTTCTATGTTTTTATTTTTAAACTTGTCCTTTTTCTTTGCTTGATAAAGTAATTTAAAATATTAGATATTCCTTAAAAGGTTGAATAGAAAAAGTTATATTACATAAAATCTTAAGTGCTTATATACATATATAAACACTTTACATAGAGTTAAGATTTTTCAGCGCTTTCTGTGTTATCATGTATTAACAATCAATACAAACTCTTGGTACACATGTCTGCTAAACATAGAATCTGGACAAGTCAACTAATTCATTCTTTTTTTGCTTGAGTTTTCTGGTCAAGAATGACTTTATAATAGACTCAGGGAAAACTTTTTTTAAAAAGTAGAGAAAGACAAATTCTTTTTGGGAAATGCAGTATTAAAAAATTCACAGGGCCAGGTGTGGTGGCTCATAGCTGTAATCCCAGCATTTTGGGAGGACGAGGTGGGCGGATCATGAGGTCAGGAGTTCAAGACAAGCCTGACCAACATGGTGAAACCCTGTCTCTACTAAAAAATACAAAAATTAGCCAGGCGTGGTGGCATGCACCTATAATCCCAGCTACTCAGGAGACTGAGGCAGGAGAATTGCTTGAACCCGGGAGGTGGAGGTTGCAGTGAGCCAAGGTCATGCCACTGCATTCCAGCCTGGGCAACAGAGTGAGACTCAGTCTCAAAAAAAAAAAAAAAAAAAAAATCCATTCACAGAAGACTGTGAAATTCAAATACATTATTTTCAATTCCCATGACATTTACACCAGTGATATGCTAGAAAGATTTCAGAAAGGCTCATCATAACTTTATAAATAAATCTGTTCATACTACTTGTGTTTTTACATACTGTTGAGTCCCAAAAGTGGATTTTATTTGTGACGTATTTAATTCATGGCAAGTATATACATATAATACAGCATTACATAAATATACTTGGAAACAACAAAAACTAAACTTGAAAATGATGCCATTCCTCCAGTTTTTGGAGAATGAGGCATGTCTTCCTCTTTTCTGTCTAGCAGTGGACAGTGGTATAGTCAGAACCAGGTTAAAACAGATGTGGTCAGGGACCAAAAGAGTGTGTGTGAGGGCCCTGTAAGCAGCTACACCACGGGGGTTCATCATACAAAGTGGGTCTTTGTGTTACAGATCTCCAATGTCATGAAACAAACATTCTTTAAGTGAGAAGAACAATTATACATTGCTGATAAACACTTCCGTGAATGTATCAAATGATTTGCTAAGATATTAAAACTAGTAACTTTTCAGAGTAATTTGGTTTCCATCAAGAAGCCTTCTGTGCAAGGAGGAAATAGCCACTCTCAATGTCTTGGATCCAAGAAACTACTTATTTGTCACCATTTTCTCTTTTCTCCTGTTAAAGAACAAGGACTTTAAAATTAGACAGACTCAGCTCCCAGCTATATGGTCTCAGAAAATTCACTTAATGTTTTGAGGTACCCTCATTTCAGTCTCAGCCAAGAGGGCTCCTACTGAAAACCCCTGTGGCCTTCCATCTGAGAACCTTCTCTTGGCCAGCAAACAAGACAGAGCATGAACAGACCTCAGCCATAGATAAGGTGGGCTCCTGGTATCTCAGACATGATCATTTGAAGTGTACTGTACCAAATCTCTCGGGGGCCCCAGGTGGGACTGAACCCCAGTTTCCCACACCAATAAACTGCTGGACAACACCCTCTCTACTGACTTCTTTTCTTTCCCATGTCCGTTCCCCAATTTCCTAGGATACTTTCTGGGCCTGCCTCTGAAAGAAGTTCCTTACACTCAAATTCTTGTCTAGGATCTTGCTTCTCGGGGAGCCCAGCGTCAGAGGCTCCCATCAACCTCCCAGCTGGAGCTGGCCCCCAGAGGCAGAGCTATAACTCTGCCTCCAGCTGGGTGGTTCACACCTAAACCCTCTGAGCACTTTGCAGAACTTAGTTTTTTTCAGGGCAAGTACTTAGCAGAGAGGAGAAGGTGGGAATATTGTTCATGCCTTGTTTGTGACTTACCACAAGGCCAAGCCTTTCAGGGACATGTCACTCCCTCAAATGAAACCCACTTTTATTTGGCTTATTCAGGGAGAAGGGGGTGAAGGCTACTCAGAGGGCTCCATCCAAGCCTTAACTGACACAGGTGCTGCAATGAGAATATGAAACTGGATGCCTTCCCCTTTTCAGGTGTGTAGAAGACAAGGACATCTGCCAAAAGAGGATGGGGTGAGAGATGGCATGGTAGGTGAGGCCGGGGGGTGGGATTCAGGGAGATAATGAGAGCCCTCGAGGTAACTTCGGGCTGGCCAGGAACTTTGCTTATCAGATTTTTGCAGCAGTTTGAAGAGAACCATTAGGGCACTTCAACAGAGGCCTGAATACATTAGTTAGCTTGATTGTGGCACTCAGTTCACAGTATATACATATATCAAAACATTGTGTTATATAATTTAAATACAGAGCACTTTTATTTGTCAAAATCAATTAGTTAATTAAGAAAAAAAAAACAGAGCTCTGGATTTGATCCTGAGTCACTTTCTCAGTGGTACAAAATATGCTGGCAGGGGAGCTATTTCTAAGAATGATGCTCAGAGCTTTGGAGCCAGGAGGTCAAGGTGCTTCCCTGGCCTGTGTTCCTGAGCCCCTGCAAAGTTAGCAGCATTTGCACTGCCTGGTGTGGCTTAAAGTCCCTGCCCTGCTGTTCCATCCCTCTGATCTTTCCAAGCAGGTGGCTCTGGCCTCTGTGTCTCTTTAGGGCATTTGCTCTGTTAAGCTCCATTTTTCTCTGACCTTCCTATTCCTGATAGTGTCCCTATATGGACATACAGGTGAAGCTCTCACTTCCTAAATGCTTCCAGCCACACTGCCTTCAGACAAAATCTACCCCATGTATGGTAGATGCCAAAAATAGCCATAATCCTCCATGTCTCCAAGTATCATAGCCTTTACAATGATCTTCACAACTCCTCCTATCAAGTCCCATAGTCTTCTTCTCCACTCTAGCCACATGGGGCATCTTTGTATTTCACATTGGCCCACAGAATGTGAAAGAAGTTGCTGTGTACCAGCACTGAGTCTAAGCTTCTGCACACTCTCTCTCTGAAACCTACTGAGCTACCATGTGAGGTAGTCTAGGGTTGCCTGCTGGACAACAGGAAACAATGATCCAGTTCTCCTTATCTTCCTAACACATAGCTGGCAACCAACCCCAGGAGAAGAGCCACCTCTCTGACAGGCAGCTGCTCATAAACTCATGACTGAACCTAGCTGACAGCAGAAGAACCACCCAACTGAGCTCAGCCTAAATTGCCAGTTCACACAATCATGAACTAGACAAATAGCCATTGTTCTAAGCCACTAAGTTTTGAAGTAGTTTGTTATACAGTAATAAATAACAGATACACCCTGGAATAAATCCAGTATAATTATATTGCAGTGCCTGTTTCTGCTGTCATTGCTACTGGTGCAAAGGAAACATGAAGCTCACCCTTGCCTCTGGAGGAAGAACCGTGGGTGAAATCCTGAGACAGAAACCCTGTATGCGGCTCTCCTTTTATCTGAAGACCACCCGCCTCATAGCTGTGGAAACAGGAGCGGATGCTCTAATCATGCCACTAGTCATCTCCAGGAGTTCTGCCATGTAAGGTAACCTGGTCTGGCTGCCATCCATCATCTCTGTGTCTCAAAATATCACAGCTCCTTTTTAAACCTCAAAGCCAAAAAGCAAACCTTTCAACACTGGGGTGGTTCAGTGCCCAAAACCATAGTATTTCTACCATGTTCTGATGATGACTTCATAAATCATCATTGATTTAATTTCACAAAGCTCTCCATGACATAAGCACAGCCATAGCCACAGTCCTGACCCATATTTAATGGTGAAATTCAAGAATCTACTATGTGTTGGGATTCTCCTCTTTCCTCCTCTGTGTGGCTCAAATAAGGCATAAGAGACACAAAGCGAGATTCATCATATTAACTTAAGGAATAAAGTGGCTTCCTCTGAGAACTTGGCCTCCAGTTCTCATAATATACTATATTATACTCCATTATAGTAATTACTGGCCTGTTATTTTGTTATACATTATTATACATAGAGTGTGTAGAAATGTTTTATAAATAGAATAATGCATAGCCATTGCCCTGAATTTTCTAGAACAGCACTAATTTAAAATATTCCTTCCAGTAAATACTGGATATTGCTCTTCCTTGAGCCAAGAATTTCTTCTACTTCAATCGTCATGTCTGTGACATTTGCTAGCACCATAGTCTCATACTGTTGGTAAATTTTGTACAAGTGCATCTTGTCTTTCTAACTAACTGGTCTATTCCTTAAGGTCACAAGCCTTGAGGGATGGCTTTATACGTCCCTACTCCTCCACTGCCAGGTACTCCATCTGTCCTTTGTTTTTGCTCAGTTGGCCTCAGTAACTCACCTGCTAAGTCATTGTCTCTGCTTTCAGAATCCTAGAGGATAAAAGACAGAGCAGCAGCCAGCGAGGTGAGCAGCAGTCAGAGCCTCCTCATGGACAGGATGAAAGACACATTTTGTCTTTGGCAATGTCCAGGCTTTCCACTTTTTTTTTTTTTTTTTTTTTTTGAGATGGAGTCTCACTCTGTCGCCCAGGCTGGAGTGCAGTGGTGCAATCTCGGCTCACTGCAACCTCTGCCTCCTGGGTTCAATCAATTCTCCTGCCTCAGCCTCCTGAGTAGCTGGGACTACAGGCGCGTGCCACCACCCCCGGCTAATTTTTTTGTATTTTTAGTAGAGATGGGATTTCACTGTATTAGCCAGGATGGTCTCGATCTCCTGACCTCGTGATCCGCCCTCCTCAGCCTCCCAAAATTACAGACATAAGCCACTGCTTCTGGCCTAGGCTTTCCATTTTTAGCCCCTCCTCTTCCTCAAAGCATTCCATGGCACTCCCCTCTGGGAAGTTTCTCCAGTAAGGCAGTGATCACTGTGCTCTCCAGTGCTAAGAGGCGCTGGCATGCATCTGCCATTGGTTTTACATGTTACTATTACAAAACAGGGTGCTGTTTCTTAGTGGCCGTTAAATAGTTTTACCTTTGCACAGGAATCATATTTGCACTATTAGCTTGTGTTTATTAGGAGCAACCTTAACTGCAAAGTCTTGGATCCTTACAATGTGTTTCAAAAGCACATGGACCTCCTTCATAGTTGGTATGGAGCAGATCAAAGGTCTGCATCCCATCCTCAGAGACTCACAGTCCCTTCTGCTTGTCAAAGGATATTGCACCATCATGTCCCTCATATCAGCACCTGCCTGGACCATAATATGATTGGATGAGAAATGTTCAAGGTAAATTTTTAAGTATTTTTAGCTCTTTCCATATAAGAATGTTCCAGACGTGACTTTGAGTTTGGAAGAATGTACATAACCACCTTCAGAACCTCCTTTTCTTTTTAGATGAAATCTCTTTTATTATAAAATATCAGAGAATTAGCATAACTCTTGGCTATCTATCCCTCGGGTATCCCTCTTTCTTTCCTTTCTGCAAGAAAAGCAAAACTAAGAACCTTTATTTACTTAGAAAGTCAGTTACAGGAGGCAATAAAGTTTATGGGAACAGGCTTGTCGTTGCTTATTTCCCATTGACCCCAGCAATACTTTGGAGAAACAATTTCTATGTCACAGATATATTGCTTTAACTCTAAGGGTGCTGTTTATTTCAAGAGATGCCTTAACATGATGAAATAATAAGAACTGAACACCTTATACAATTGCCCTGGGCTCACATCTCAGTTGCTCTCTGCTGTAGCTCCACACTGCCCCCAGAAGTGACTTGTCCAAACCAAGTGCACCATTCCATGGTCATTGTACGACAGACACAAACTCAGTACAAAGAAACACCATTGACTCCTCCTGATTTGGTTTTCTTTTTAGAATAATTTTCTTACCCAGGAACTGAAACTCCATTTATTGTTTAAGTCACATACAGATTTGATAAGCTCTCTTTTCTCAATTTGACTTTTGTTGATAAACAAAACTACAGGTTAAAAAAAGTTTTTAAATATTCACAAAAAATAATTTTCAGCCCTTCAGTTGACTGGTTGTCTACAAGTTGTCTTTTGGGAGCTCTGATAACAGGTGGTGTCTTGAACTGAGTTTACACTGAAAGTAAATGCTCTATCCCATTCTGTGTCATGATAAGACAATTCTGAGCAATTGCATATCCACCCTATAGAAAGACTCAAGTGCTTGGCTAATTTAAAATGACAAATAACCTAAAATAAGTTCTATTTGACATTAAAATGCTCTAAGAAAATATTTTTTCTCATCTATAGAGACAGTTTTCCTCTCACTTGGAAATCCCAGGACACTTCAGAATCCACCTATGGAATACCAAACCACCCTTTCTCCACCCTAAACCCACATTTCCTCAGGCCCCTCCTAGAGCCACAGTTTCCACCACCCACCCCATCGCTCGATAAGGGAGTCACAACATCCTCCCTGTTTTCTTCACTCTGTCCACATCCGTGGTGTCCATCAAAGCTACATGCCTCTTTGCCATAACATCTCTCAGCCCTGCCTGTCCATCCATCCATCCATCCATCCATCCATCCATCCATTCAACCATCCATCCATCCATCCATCCATCCATCCATCCATCCATCCAACCATCCATTCAGGCTTCCCTAGACTCCCCTCGACTGAACTATGTACAAGGAGTGCCCTGCTTCTGGTGTTGGTCAGCCTCGTTCCCACGACTATTTTCCACACCTCAGGCAGAATAAGAGTTTACACTGAAAACGTGATTGTCTCTCTCCAGCTACAATCTCCTTCTTGGCGTCTCGTCAACACCAGCAGAGCCAAAACCACCAAGGCTTGCAGGACATGGTGGTTTACAGTTCCTGCTGGCACCTGCAGCTTGCCTTTTGCCTGGAATCTGCCTCCCTCTCCCCAAGGCTGCTGCCGGTCTCAGGCGCATTATGCACCCTCTGGGATCAGGTTCCCTCTGCTGGGTACACCGTTCCAGCCACCACACCTGTCTCATTCTTCATTCACCCCTGTCTCCGTTTACCTGTCCTTTCTTATAGCCACATGCCCAAGCTCCTGCACGGTCCTTCTCCAGCACCCAGCACACCCCAGGGTCCCACAGTAGCCTTGGGTGTGTTTCCCCTCTGCACTGCAGACTGATGGGCAGGGACCACGTCAGTATTTCCACCACTGGGCCCAGCTCCCGGCTCAGAGAGGCAGCTGCTCAGTGAGCTTGCTCAGGGCAAGGGTGAAGGAAGAACAGAGCAGATTCCAACAGGAAATTCCAACCCAGAGCTCTCAGCTCAGCCTTAAGGAAGGAGGAGAGATGGGCAAAAAGGTTTGGTCCCCATTCCTGAGTGGTTGCATCACAGGTGGGTGGCATGCAGCACATTCCCTGCCATCAAAACACAAATCTTGTCATGGAAAATGCAGGTCTTGCCCCCATTCCTTTCCTTCTTTTGCAGCAGAAATTCAATTAAACTGATAAATCAGCAACCAGTGATATTTGGCAGGTTCTGCATCCAGCATCCCACTCAATGCTCTGCACAGCTGTCTATTGTGGGTGTCACTTTGAAGATGAGGTGCTGGGCTTGGGGAGGACACACAGTGGGTCCAGCGACATGTGGGTGGCCTCAAGTAGGCAGAGCTGGGGTCTGACCACCTCCCAGATTCCAAAGCCTCATCATTTAAGGAGCTGCAATCTGTTCAAAGTAAATATTTTCAAAAGACTCAAGAGTTCTTACTTTTTGCTTTGATACACTCTTCTTTTATGCTCTCACGGCTGCTTAAAAGGTCATACAAATTAAATGGCTTTAAATCAATGTTATGATTTAATACTTTATATAAAAGAGGGTGCTTAAAATACTTTATACAAAGAAATTCCTTTAAAATTCAAACCACTGGGGAAAACAAAAAAAGAACAATGAATCTGAAATACTAATAAATATCAGATAAGACAGTTGCTGACGTCAAGTTAAAAAAATAAATAAAAGATCCATCTTTTTCCTCCTTGCAGATTGATTTCCCTGAACTATTTTGTGACAGAATCACTTCAAGTCTAGGTGTCTGAGATGCCTCACTGAATGAGCAGACAACATGAATGTTCTAGACACATGGAAGGCAAGCAAAAAACAACACATAAATAAGCAAGCATGGGGTATGTGCAGCGGTAATGAAAGCTATAGGGAAACATAAAGGAAAGGTGGTCAGAAATGTCTCATGCAGGTCATGATTTATATGTAGTGTTCAGACAGTTCTTGCCGAGGGCTTTAGCTCAGTGGTCCGGAACAAGAAAGCAAGCAGGGAAAGAAGATCATGGGTGATGGGGGCATGCTGCTGATATAAGATGGCCAAGGGCATCCTGATGAGGGGACATAAGTACAGAGACTCAAAGGAAAGAGCAAGAGAGCCTGGGGTAACCTGGGGGAGAGAGAGCATGGGGTGACCTGGAGAAGAGAGAACTTGGGGTTAGAGAAACCTGCAAATGGAATGGCCCTGGGTAGGACTTTGGCGGGGGTGGTGCTTCAAAACAGCCACAAGGCTCTGTGTGTGTGTGTGTGTGTGTGTGTGTGTGTGTGTGTGTGTGCACACGCACGCGCATGTGCGCATATGTGCTTTTGGGCATTTCACAGGGCCCCAGGGACCACCGTGACAGCCTCAGTGAGGGATGGCACAGTCATCCGAAGCCTGGACAGACGTGGGTTAAAATAAAGTCACTTAATTGAATTAACTTTACAAGTTCAATGGAAAAATGTTTCACTTGCAGTTAGTCAGCAAAAGCAGGGAATCTGAGTGAAAAGGGATTCTGTAGGTCCTAAGATTGTTTCAGGATACTGTAAAGAGAATAAACGCTACCTCATTGTCTTGGCTTAAAAATAATCAAAACTATCCTTACCTCCTGCCAATGTGTGTGATGAATCCAGGCATGTGTGAATGCATGTAAGAATAATTTCCTTTTCATTGCTCTATATATGTACAAAATATTTTGCATATTCCAGGATATATGTGAAAATTGTTTCTTTCTCTGATTTCCTAATTCAAGATCTGATGCACAAAACCAACATATAAGCATTGTTAAAGGAAATGAATCCACCTATCTATTTCCCCATCCAAACATCTATCCATCCATCCACCCATCGTCCATCCATCCGTCCGTCCATCCATCCATCCATCCATCCAACCAGCCATCCATCCATCCATCTGTCCATCCATCCATCCATTCATCCATCCATTCATCCATCCATCCATCCATCCATCCAACCATCCATCCACCTGTCTGTCCATCCATCCATCCATCCATCCAACCCTCCATCCATCTGTCCATCCATCCATCCATCCATTCATCCATCTGTCCATCCATCCATCCATCCATTCATCCATCCATCCATCCACCCACCCACCCACCCATCTATCCATCCATCCACCCATCCATCCATCCATCCATCCTTCCATCTAACCCTCTGTTTTTCTATCTCTTCCTTCCTCCATCTAGGTTTGAAAATGAAGCTTCAAAACCTATTTAGGTGATTGGAACATGTCATCACTCTCAATATTCTAGCTTCTTCAAGTGGTTTCCCTGAAAGGAAATCCATTTGATTTTCTTTTAAATAAATCTTCTGTTACTAATACCTGATGTGCTGCAAGTATGATCTCATTTTAAAATGGCCACATATTTTAAAATTTACTTGATAAATCTGCATCTACTTTATTCCTATGGAATAACAGAATTTTATAAAATAGAAGGTAAAAGCTAAATACCACCATTCTGCATTAAAAGTCAAAATTTAAACAGGCAGCCATATGTTTTTTATTCATTGAAATTAGGATATTCCCAGGTTAGAGTATGTGAAATTTTTTTATGAAAATTGACTTTCATAACTAGAATAGAAAATTTGACCCCAGGTGGCAAAATCAATTCAGATTCCTTTTGACATTTTCTAACCTTGGAATTTCTCTAGGAGTAAAGTAGTTGCATAAAGATTATATTCTTGGATATTAATTATTTCAAGTAGTTTCCACAGGGAAAAAAGTAAATGTCATTTGTGACAGTTCAGAAGCAAGTCAAGGTTTTACTTCCTCTTGTATGTAAGAAAGGGAAAAATAGGAAATTCGACTAGAAAATGTGCACATCTCCAGGGTAGCTGAAGGGAGTCTTCCTGCACAAAGGGTAGACTTGGGGTGATCCATGTGTGTACCCCGCCTTGATGTGGACCTGGAGACTCCACAGGCATGTCCCCAGAACTCTTGCTTCACTCTGCAGGATGATGACATTTATCACCAAGTGTTCATTTTTATGAACATATTTCTTGAGCTCTGCCTTGAAAAACATTCTTTACATTTGAAGAGCAGGTATCTTGCTTGCTATCCAGGGCAATGATATAGAGTGATATATTTTTAAAAAGTAATCTATTATGTTACTCAATAATTTTATGTAAGGTAATTACCCCAAAATAATCTTCTATATTACTTATTTTAATTTAATCTATTATCAATTATCCTCTGATTTAGAAATAAAGTACAGAATGACATCAAATCATGGGCGGTTGTAATGATTTCTCCCAATATTACCTCTGTAATCTCTAAACTTACGTGGTATCATCTAGTAGTGAATAAGAAAAATAGGGGGTTCCAGCTTGGGGCAAGAGGATGGACTTTTCTGATAGACATACCTGGGTCTGACTTGGTTCCCCAAGAGGTGGTCACAGTTAAGACTGTAACCTTTGATACCAAGTCACTAGGTTTTCATGCTGGCTGGCCACCTGCTCCCTATCTGATCTGCATATTTACTTACATTCCCTGTGTCTAAGTATCCTCATTCTTAAAATGGATACAATGACACTCTCTATCTTAAAGGTGTAGGGGAGAATTAAATAAGATAATACATATTTAAAGTCTTAGAACAGTGCTTCATGTGAATAAGCACTAAAAACAAAATGTTCATTTTCTCCTTATTATAACATATAATAACTTGAGCAAATAATTTCCCTAGACTTATATCCTCAACCATAATGTCAGACAAAAATGCAAACAGAGTTAGGGTGTGGTTTAAATGTGATGGCGTGTGTTCAGATCCTGGCAAATGCCTGCCACATTGTATCTCAATAAGCCTTAGTTTCCTTAACTTTCATTCAGCCTTTACCAATCAGGATGTAAGAGTCACAGTGTTTGTCGAAGTTAAAAAATAAATTATCAGCATCATTCCTACTGTAGAGACTCAACTAACTGTAGATATGCAAGCACATTTTTCAAAAATATATTCATCTCATTTCTTAATGTACATTATTAGTTGAGTATCAGATATGTAGCAAGCACTGTGCTACGTGCAGAGGAGACAGGATGGATAAGAGCCAATCCTTGCCCTTGAGAAGCTCAAAGTCAGGTGGGAATGACAGGCAGATAAATACATAACATGCTAAAGGTTGGTGGTTGTGAGACTGTAGAGAGACGCGGCACCTCAGATACACCTAAATGGAGCAAGGTGACCAACTGGTTCAAAGATAGTGAGAGATGTCTAGGTCCAACCACACCTGAAAGTATTTAAAGCAGGACTTTGTCTCCTTGCAAGGTCAACATGGATCATGATTTGGGAGAAAAAAACACCTACTTGGTTGAGAAGTATTTATAGGCAAGAAGCTGGAGGTAAGTGCTGTGGCCAATTCTCAAGGCAAATAAAGAAGCCCCTACAAGGACACCCACTGCAGTGCAGTGTTGAGCCTGAGACGTTACTTTACATCACATCTCTGAATGGTGAACCTCATGCCTTTAATAAACGTAAGTGTCCAACATTCAGCCAGCAAATGTGCGAAAAACAATGAAAGTGGGCATCAGCATGTTCGATTTTATGGTTGGAGAAGAAGCGGAAACTGATTTCCTGTGATGCCGACTGGGACACTGTTAAGGGTTGAGTTGTGACCCCCTAAATTCCTATGTTGAAGTCCTAACCCCAAGAACCTCAGAATATGACCTTATATTTAGAGGTCAGGTCATTACAGAGGTGATGTGAAACCATCTAAGATTCAAAGGTTTTCCAATACTCTACCAATGGATTTTGAAAACCAAAGCTGACCGGTAGAGTCTTTTTTTTTTTTTTTTTTTGAGACGGAGTCTCGCTGTGTCCCCCAGGCTGGAGTGCAGTGGCGCCATCTCGGCTCACTGCAAGCTCCGCCTCCCGGGTTCACGCCATTCTCCTGCCTCAGCCTCCCTAGTAGCTGGGACTACAGGCGCCCACCACCACGCCTGGCTAATTTTTATTTTTTTATTTTTAGTAGAGACAGGGTTTCACCATGTTAGCCAGGATGGTCTCGATCTCCTGACCTCGTGATCCGCCCGCCTTGGCCTCCCAAAGTGCAGGGATTACAGGCGTGAGCCACTGCACCCGGTCCCGGTAGATTCTAATCTAATTCAGGGTGAAGATTTGGTCTTATTAATTTTTGTAAGGACATAATATAACGGCTGACACAGAAATACAGTTTTGGGATGCGTAAAGAGGACACAGAAAATTTTGGCAATGATTTCTGAACTTGATTTAAAGCTCTCGAATTTTAAAAACAAGTCCAGCCGTGACAGCTTTGAAGGCCAGAGGCATGGTGCCTCCTTGTGCATCCCCAGAACAGGACTGCCTCACTTAGGAAATGCCCCTTAATAAATGCTCCTAGAACTGCAAAACACCTAACTTATTCCAAACTTTCCGGATGAAAAGGCAGAGGATTTTCTACTCCCATTTCAGGTCTCAGACTCCAGCTCATGACTTGAGAAACATCTTTTTCTCTCCCTGGCTTTCCAGAACATTCTCATGGGCCACAGAGATACCCATGAAAGTCCCTTAGCATTGAGCACTTTGATTAATTTATTGTTTAACAACTTATCAAACCCTCTTTTCACTGAACAAAGTTCCTGGAGGCCTACTGAAATATCATATCACTCAGTATAATTTATTCAATATGTGGTGAGGAAGGGAGGTAGGTCGAGAGAGAGACAGACAGACAGCAGGCTGATTTATGACATAGATCGGTGCTGCCTTCTCCTCTTGCAAACATGTCCACAAATGGACAGCACTCTTGAGTAACTAAACTCTGAGAAAACTAACATTGTTTATTTGTGACATCTAATGCCTCAAGAAGAAATTACTGGGAGAGAATGCTACCTTTTATAGGAATTATATTCCCCACCCCCACCAAAAAACTCACATGCTTAAGTACTAATCCCTAGTACCTCTGTCCTTATTTGGAAATAGGGTTGTCACAGATGTAATTAAACAAAACAAAATTATAGTAGAGTAGGACGGGTCCTTAATCCTATATGCCTGGTGTCTTTATAAATAGGAGAAATTTGGACACAGACAGACACACAGAGAGAATGCCCTGAGATGATGAAGGCAGAGATGAAATCACCAAACACCAAAGACTCCCAGAAGCTGGGAGAGACCTGGAATTGACTCTCTCTCAGCCTCAGAGGGAACCAGCCCTGCTGACTCCTTGATCTCAGAATTGCAGCCTCCAGAGCTGTAAGACAATACATTTCTGTCACTGGCTGTACTTCCTTACAGCAGCCCCAACAAACCAACGCTTCCCAAGCACCTTTCGCATTATATGAAGTAGTCCTCCTCCTTCCATGTGGTTTTGGAGGGCCCTGAAGTGGGACCCAGGTGGAATTCATCTCTGGATCTCAGAGAGAGCGCTCAATAAATGCTAAGTGGTAGGTGAGTGAGTGAGCAGTGGAGCAAGAGAATGAGTAAAGGGATGGATGTAGTGTTTGTCTGACACAGAGGCAGAGCAGGGGCCACTCAGTTGGGTAAAGGTCTGCTTGACAGCCAAATAATTTGGGGATAGCCTCTCTCCCATCGGTCACTCACTCCTGAGAGCCCTTCTGCCCTCTCCACTCAGAGGTCACGTGTTTGATCAAGAGATGGGGTGTTAGTGCTCCTTCATTTCCAGTTGAAAGAGATGACAGCATCTGTATGAATCCAAAGCTAACCCCGTGCACAGCAGCACGCCAAGCACAGCAGGAAGCTAAGCAGGCCCATCACGCTGTCCTGTAGGACCCGGAGCTGTTGGCTTCAACCAAAATGCGCCACTCCCCCAAGTACTTTCCTCTAACAATCACAAAGCTGTGAAATGTCCAAGTTTTAAATTATTATTGGGAAATATTTCATCTTTTGAAAACAATTCTGGTTTCCCCATTTTGACACCAAGCAGAATTTGGCCCAAAACTAAAAGCGAGCAACTTTTAAGTATGAAATCAAAATTTGCCTTGATATTGTGCTTTCTGTGTTTGCCATACAATGAATTCTGGAGCAATGGTATTATTTTACTTTATTTTAATTTTCTGTTGTGTTTTGTTTTTCTTTCCTCCCAGTGTGGTCCTTGAACCGCCTGCTAATAAAGTCATCAAGGCCGTGGTGTTCAAATCAGATCTTAAGGCCTCTCAGGTAGAATTGCTTGATGAGACTGGGGAACATGGAGCACAAGGGAGGGGAAGGAGGAGAGAAGAAAGACAATGATACATTTCTGCTCTAATTTATTATTCGGGGTCTCAGACACAATGAAGGGCAATACCTAGTTCTCTGGGTTCCGTCTTTCCTTCATGAGGTCAAGTAGTAGAGGATGAAACAGCACAAAGGAAAATCAACTCGTAAAATGAAGAGAAAAACGTGTCCTTTAGAGGATGAAAAGAAACCCAGACAGAGACTTTCATAGAACAAAACTTGGGACTAGGATGGAACCTCGCTGACCACAGCCCAGTGATTACTTAAGGGAGTCCCATGTTTTACAGACAAGCTTTAGGGGTCTCCATGGGACAAGCTTGTGGTTGGGGAGGCCGAGAGGGCCCAGACCCCAGATGTCCACACCGGGTCCACCAGAGCATCGCTGAGATTTGTTAGAAAAATTGGGATTTCCATGGCTGGGCGCGGTGGCTCACGCTGGTAATCCCAGCACTTTGGGAGGCTGAGGCGGGCGGATCACGAGGTCAGGAGATTGAGACCATGGTGCAACGCCGTCGTCTCTACTAAAAATACAAAAAATTAGCCGGGCATGGTGGCAGGCGCCTGTAGTCCCAGCTACTCGGAGAGGCTGAGGCAGGAGAATGGCGTGAACCCGGGAGGCAGAGCTTGCAGTGACCCCAGATTGTGTCACTGCACTCCAGCCTGGGCGACAGAGCGAGACTCCATCTCAAAAAAAAGAAAAAGAAAAAAAAAAGAAAAATTGGGATTTCCAGTGAAATTTTATTTGAGAAAAGGAGTTTATTTCTTAAAAACAAGTGTGAAAGCCTGTTTGCAAACAGAATCAGTGAAATGAAATACAGCTAAAATCACTTATAATCAGGGACAGATCAAGAGCAAGGATGTTTTTTGTTGTTGGTCCTGTGTATCTCTGTTTCTTATAAGATGAGAAGGGATATTATGATGTTATTAATTGAAAAAAAGACAATTCCTGAGATTTTTGAAAAGGGAAAATATGGACCAGATACCTTCATTAAGATGAAAGCATAGTCTCTATATGCAGATAAGACCCAGGGCATTCCTGGTGTGTCTCGTTTTACCTAATGGCTTTATTAACATAAAATCATTTTCCCATGTACTCACAAATATTTTCACGTTTCTATTTTTTCCTAGATGCTATGGAAAAATATGGCCAAAAAACCTGTCCTTACTTGCATAGTACTATAATGTTAGTGTCGATAGCCTTTAGCAGTTTGTTTCTATTGAGTTGCATTATGCATTTGGGGTGCTTTATTTTCACGTATGATCCATCTCCAATATCTTTATTAGAATTAATGAGCTCTTAACACACAATGACTAATTATCAACTGTCATGCTTCTGGGCCGTTCCTCCTACATTTGATGCCCGCTCACCTCCCCTTCGCACACACAACCCAAAAGCAGAAAGCAAAAAAACACTCTATTCATTAATCCATTCACTAAACATTAATTAAGGTCCGTCTAGATTCTGAAGGCAAAAGTTCAGATCAAACAACAATTCCTCTAAGAAGCCTCCATTGATTTCCCAGATAGAACCAATTCCTCTCTCCCCTCCGCTCCCACAGGACTCAGAGATTCTATTTTCACACACAGCGTAATCTCTCTGTCGATGTTAATTACCCACATCTACGTCCCTCCATGCCCCTCCTCACACTGCGCTGTGAATCTCTGGAGGATGAGAAGCAGGTTTTATTTGCTTCCTGTGTTCTAATGTCACTAAATATGGCCTTAATTCTTCCACATTGTAGGAAGCTTAGTGAAGGAGGCAACAAACAAAACTTCCTAGGATATAAGAGCTTTAAAAATATAAATCAGAAAAAGATCGGTAATAAACAAACATGAACAAAAGAGAGGGGGTGCTGCTTAGGCTACTGGGTCCCGCATCTCCTTTGCTTTCTGCCAAAATGCCCTAAAAGAGCTCCCCCATCCCTCCCAGCCTTTCTGTGCAACCCTGATCCCTCTTCGATCAACTTCAATCCGTTTTTAATGCCATTACTCCACCAACAAATATTGAGCCAACCAACTAACAACTGAGAGAAAATATTTTATTAAAAGGAATCCC